>NC_000009.12:107766006-107917521 GCF_000001405.40 Homo sapiens | reverse complement strand
CTACCAGCCTTCTCAAGCACAGAAAGCCATACACACTAATGCCCTGTGGCTCATTCTCCTGTAGGAATCATAGAAGACCAGTCCTCGGCGTTTTTACTCCCTTGTACTTCAGCTCCATCTGCCTAGGAGGCAGGCTGCCCCAGAAGTGATCTAAGTGGCAGAGCCCAAGCTGTGACCAAACTCCTCAGACTACTCAATGTGTACAAAGCTTGGATGGCCTACTCTATCCTTTCTGATGGTACATTCTTCCACAGGAAGCTCTGGGATTCCTTGTGATAAAATACCTAGTTGGACCCCAAAGGCATGCCCAGGCATTTCTAAATATACTTGAGTGACTATAACTGAGGATAATGCAGGAGTCCACTCAGGACATTGGATTATCCCAGTGGCAAAGAGATCATTTGGTTTGTAAGCTTCCTTATTGGATCCCAGGGAGCACTTACTGGTATACAGAGAGATCTGTGGGGAACAGCAGGCTTGATATTATTTAATCAAAATTTCAACGTATAATTTACATACAATAAAATGCATTCTTTTTAAGTGTACAGTTTGATGTGTTTTGACAAGATGCATACACCTACATACCTAGTAGTCACAACCCCAATCAAGATAAAAAAAAAACTTCCAACAACCCAGAAAGCTTCTCATGCCCCTTTGCAGTCGGTTTCTACCTTCAGTCCCAGCCCATGAAACTAAGGATCTGATTTCTCAGCTCTAGAGTTTAAGGTAAATGGAATCATAGATTCCATTTTTCAGCTTTTTCCAACTTTTTTCCATTTTCCATTTTCCAACTTTTTTCAGCTCTAGAGTTTAAGGTAAATGGAATCATAGATCATCTACTGTATTGTGTAAAGTTTTTTTCACTCAGCATGGTTTTCAGATCCATTCATGTTCTTGCTTCCATCAGTAGTTTGTTTCTTTTCATGTTGAAGAGAATTTCATTTGTATGAATATATCACAATCTGTTTACTTATGTAACAGTTGATTGACATTTGAATAGTTTCCACTTTGGGGGTCCTATGAATAAAATTGCTGTGCATATTCATTTACAAGTCTGAGGTAAGAATATGTATTTCTTTCTTTTTAGATAAAAACCTAGGAGTGGAATTGCTGAGTTTTATGGTAAATGTATGTTCAACTTTATAGAAGAATTGCCAGAGTTTTTCAATGTTCTTTTACCATTTTACATTTCTACCAGCGATGTCTGAGAATTCTGATTGCTCCAAATATCTCACCAACACTTAATATTGTCAGTCCTTTTAGCTTTAGCCATTATAGTGGATATGTAGTGGTATCTCACTGAAATTTTAATTTGCATTTATCTGATGGTTAATGTTGCTATGTGCTTATTAGTTATTCCTATATCTTTTGTGAATTGTTTCTCAAAATTGTTTGCACTTTAAAAAAAATCAGAACTATTTGTCTTCTTACTACTGAGTTGTAAGATGGGTAGGTAGATAGGTAGAAAGACAGGCAGGTAGATACACACACATACACACATACACATCCTGGATATAATGCTTAATTTTTTATGTCAACTTGACCAGATTATGGGCCACATATTTGGCTAAATGATTTCTGGATGTGTCTTTGAGGATGTTTTTGGATGAGATTAGCATTTGAGTTGGACTCTGTAAAGCAGATTGCCCTTTCCAATGTAGGTGGGCACCATCCAATCCACTGAGCACTGAATAGAACAAAAGGCATAGGAGGCCGGGCATGGTGCCTCACGCCTGTAATCCCAGCACTTTGGGAGGCCGAGGTGGGTGGATCACAAGGTCAGGAGTTCAAGACCAGCCTGGCCAAGATGGTGAAACCCCATCTCCACTAAAAATACAAAAATTAGCCAGGCATGGAGGCAGACGCCAGCAAGCCCAGCTACTTGGGAGGCTGAGGCAGAGAATTGCTTGAACCCCAGAGGCGGCGGTTGCAGTGATCCAAGATTTTGGCACTGCACTCCACCCTGGGCAACAGAGTGAGACTCCGTCTCAAAAAAAAAAAGGCAGAGGAAAAGAGAATTTGCTCATTCTGCCTGACTGATTGAGCTGAGACATTGGTCTTAACCTGCCCTTGGACTACGACTTACACCACCAGATTCTTTGCTTCATAAGCCTTCAGACTCATACTGAACTACGTCACCAACTTTCCCGGGTTTCCAGCTTGCAGACAGCAGACTGTGGGGCTACTCAGACTCCATAATCACAGGAGCCAATTCCTCATAATAAATCTCAGAATAACAAATAGTGTATATTATTAGACATATCTATATCTTTATCTGTATCTGCATTTTATTGCTTCTGTTTCTCTAGAGAACCCTGACAAATACATTGGATATAGGTCCTTCATCAGATGTATGTCATATGATTTTTTTTCTAGTATGTGGCTTGTGTTGTCATTTTTAAATGGTGTCTTATAAAGGACAAAAGATTTTAATTTTGATGACATAAATATTTTTTCTTTATGGTTAATGCTTTTTTTGTCTAAGAAATAGTTGCCTACACCAGTGTTGAGAGGGTTTCTCTTATTATTTTTTTCTAAAAGATTTAAAGCTTCACCTCTTATGTCTATGATCTATTTTACATTAATTTGTATTTGTTGTGTGACATAAAGACCAAGGATTTTTTTCATTTTATTCAATTGTTTTAGTCCAATTTATTGAAAAGATTATCTTCTCCTCACTGAATTGCCTTGCTTCCTTTGTTGAAATCAATCAACGATGTATTCTGAACTGCCTAGTCTATTTCATTGATCCTTATGTCTATCCTTATGCCAATATCATATGATCCTGATTATAACTCTATATTAAGTCTTAAAATGAGGTAGAAGATATTCTTCAGCTTTCTCTTTCTCAAAATTGTTTTGGCTAATCTAAGTTATTACATTTTCAAATGATTACATTGGATCAATAGATCAGTTTTAGGAGAATTAAAATCTTACGTCAATTTTTAAAAATAAGGAACACGGTATTTTTTTATATATCTTCTTTAATTTCTATCAGCAATGCCTACTAGTGTTGAATGTAGAAGTCATGTACATATTTTGCTATATTTGTTATTTTATTCTTATAGTTATTGTTATATATTTATAAAAGACTGTATAAGATTGAACAGTAGTGGTAATATCTTTGCCTTATTTCTCATCTTAGAGGAAAAAAATCTAATCTTTCACCATCAATTATTATGTAAGTAGGAGGTTTTTATACATGGTCATTATCAGATTAAGGAAGTACCTTCTATTCCTAGTTTGCTGAGAGGTTTTTTTTTTTTTCATTACAAATGAGTTTTGAATTTTGTCAAATATTTCTTCTGCAAATATTGAAAAAAATTCTCTTTTCCCTTTATTCTGTTAATATGTTAAACGTCTTTACTTGATTTTTGAACTTTAAAGCAATATTATGTTCCTGAAATAAGTCCCACTGGGATATATTGTACTATACTTGTTACATATTGCTTGTTGAATTCAATGTCCTAATACTTTGCTAAGAATTTTTGTGTCTGTGTCTATTAGGAATATTATATAAGGTGCCTGACACTGAAATGAGATTTTCAGTGCTAAAGCTGGGATAAGGCCCAGGAAAACCTAGATTTTTGGTCATCCTAGATATTAGTCTCAAAATACCAGTCCCTTTTCTCATTATATGTTTGACTGGTTTTGGTATCAAGACAATGCTGGACTTATAAAACAAGTTAGAAAGCCTTCCTTTACCTCTTATTTAAAGCATTTTGTACAATTGATATTTTTTTCCTCAATTGTTTGATGGAATTCACTAGAAAAAGCCATTTCTGCCCAGACTTTTCAGATTTTTAATCACTATTTTAATTTTTAGTAAATGTAGGGCTATTTATATTTTCTATTTCTTCTAGTTTCATTTCAGGTAACATGTGAATGGTAGGCATAATGATCGCTTCCCAAAGATGTTAACATCCTGATCTCCAGTACCTGAGAATGTGCTATGTTACATGGCAAAGGGAAATAAAATTGCAGATTAAATTAAAGTTGCTAATGAACTGAATTTGAGATGGCTAAATGTTCCTGGATTATCTGAGTAGGCCCAATTCAATCACAAGTGTTCTTACAAATGAAAGAGGAAAACAAAAGAGAGAAAACCAGAGAGACGGCAGCAAGAAAAAGACAGCTCAATATTGCTGGCTTTGACTATGGAGAAATTGGGCCATGAGGCAAAGAATATAGGTGGCCTCTAGAAGCTGGAAAAGGCAAGGAAGAAAGTAGACTCTTCCCTAGAACCACAAGAAGGAATGCAGGCCTGCTGATACCCTGATTTTAACCAAGTGAGGAACAGTTCAGATTTCAGATCTTCAGAACTCTAAGATAATAAATCTGAATACTGTTTTAAGCCATTAAGTTTGTCATAATTCATTACAACAGTAAAAACTTAATTTGGTGCATTATTAAAGAAATTTATCTGTTCTATGTAAGGTGACAGATTTATTTCTATAAAATGGTTTATAATACAAATTTACTGGTATGAATGTTTGTAGAAACTGTACAGTCTTTTTTATTCCTGATATTATTTGTCTTCCTATTTTTACCTTGATCATTTATGCTTAAAGTTTATTAATTTTCTTGATCTTTTCAAAGAACAATCTTTTGTCTATGCTTACACCATTTCTATTTTATTTATTTCTGTTCTTGCCTTTATTATTTCCTTCCTTCAACTTATTTTGGGTTAATTTTACTCTTCTTTTTCTGGCTTCATAAAATGGAAGTTTAGTTCATTGGTGTAGACTGTTGAAGACAAATCATGATCTCTCATGTTTCTGCACATCTTGCAAGAAGCAGCACTGACTGCCTTGGTTCTACACTATCTTTTTGAAAATAAACGTAGGGAAAACCACCTTGAAAGATAAAGATAGCGAATCCCACCAGAGCAAAAGGCAGGTGTGTCCACTGTTCAATGTAATAAATATAATGTCTCCTTCTGGGGCAAAGTCAGAGAGGCTACTGTCCATTATAAAAGATCCATGTTTCCTGAACTTGAGGTTCTTCTCCTATAACACAACCCACTGCATATTTAGATGTCATTTGGCCCTCTTATTATCACCCTCTGTGAATTGGGATTCAGGGAATCAGTATCAATGCTGGTACTCTAGCTATTGCTCTTGCTGTATATAATCAAGTCCTTTGTCTCTGACCCAGGAGTCTCATGTCTTCTGCCACCATTCAGGAAACTGTGCCAGCTAATTTGTTAGCTTGCAAGTAAAAAAAAAAATCTCAGAACTTTCACAGAACTTACAGAGCTTTCTTCTTCTTTAATATAAACGTTTAAAACTATGAATTTCCCTACAGGTATTGCCTTAGCTGTATCCCACAAACGTTGTTTTTTAAATTATAATTCAGTTCAACACATTTTCTAATTTCTTTGTGATTTCTTTATTGACCCAAGAGTTATCTATAAGCATGTTACTTTTTTTTTAATTGGAGAATTTTCTAGATATCTTCCTGTTACTCATTGATAATTTAATTTTGTTGAGTACAGAAAATATTCTGTAGGATTGAAATCACTTTATATTTATTGAGACTCATTTTGTTGCCCAAAATGTGGCCTGAATCAGTGAACGTTCAATGTGTAATTAAAGGGAAAGTGTATTCTTCCATTGTTGAGTGTAATGTTCTATGAGTTTTATCTACACAAGTTTATAGTGTTGTTTAGTATTTTATAATGTAACTAATTTTTTCATGTATCTCACCAATTACTTAGATAGGAGTATTTAATACTAAAATAACTATGACTCATACTTTTAAAAATTCTATAAGTTTTTGCTTCATAAAGTTCTGTAATTAGGTGCATATACATTTGCAAATATTAGCTCTTCCTGACAAATTTACTCTTTTATCATTATGAAACATTCCTTTTAATCTTTGGTAATATTCTATGGCTTTTTATACTTAGAGTGTGCATGGCACATTTTTTTCATCAATGTCCTTGAGTTAGATTTTGTCCTTCATTAGAATCAAGAGACAGGAAAGAATCGACCAAATCACAGTGGTTCCATAGCCCTTTCTGAGATTTCTCACATGACAAAGCAACCTACTATGTTTTCTTGAGAAGCTGTGTTCAGCTCAATAAGCTGCCATCTTATATTCGCTTTTTATCTTTCTATATCTCATTTCCCTTTCTTCCCTCACTTTTGCTTCCCTGAGATGACAATTCCCAAGAATACATCATTATATGATCTTTGCCTCTGACTCAATCTCCTAAGAAATCCAAATCAATTTCATAGGACCTAAGTTGGGTACACAGTAGATGCTCAGTTGTTCCCTCTCTTCTGTCTTGGTCACATATTTCTTTCTTCTTACACCTCACAGGTTTTTGTGAGGCTCAGTTGAGATAATACATGAAGAAGTATTCTGTGAGTTATTTTTGGGAATAGCAATTATGCTGTGTAAAGCATCATTACAAATTAATTGACCCAATTGGGCTAACCAATCAAGGTGCTTTGCTTTCACATGGTGGACAGGTATCTTTGTTCTTATTCACTGTGAAGAAATGATTGATGTCACTGTTTTTTTTTTTTTTTTTTTACTAGTTGGGCTACCTTGGGAAAGTGGCTTTTCTATTCTAAGCCCTAGTTTCCTCATGTTTAAAATGAGGTAATAAAATCTAACTCATCTCATTGTTACAAGGTTTTAATACAATCATGGGTGTGAACTTGCTTTGTAAATTCTTAAGAGCTATGAAAATGAAAGGAATTATTGTTATTACCAGAAATATAGAAGCTCAATAAATACTTGTTGAATAAATGACTGCTTCTGAAACATAGGACACTAATCCAAATAGTGCCCAGGGTCTTGATGTAAATTAGTCACGCATCCTGATTCTCAATTTATAAATCTCCCTGAGAATTTAAGGAAAGAAAATGGGAAGTAGAGGCCTTATTCTTTGTGAATGCATTTACCATTGCTTCTCTGGATATTGCAAGTGAAGTTCAAATATAAGGTAGCAATAACAATGTTTTTGGAGTGGCAAAATATAATAGAGCCATCTATTGAGTAGGAATAGGAGTGAGTTGTCAACCACTTCATGAATTCCTACTTATAATAACTTATATTTGTTGTTTTTGTACCTTTTGTATCATTTATATTGATGTATCATTTACTTTGCCCAAGAATCCTTTAGGGTAGGTATGAATTTCCTCATTTTCAGTTAAAGAAACAGAGATTTAAAGAAGCCTGGCAACTTCCATCAAATGCCAAAGCTAATAGTTTTTGTGGAACCGATATTTGAAACAAAATCTGTCTTGTTCCCAATATGTACTTGTTTCTCTATATGAGGCTGTATCTGAAAGTATCTAGTCTCTTTTACAACTTTTCTGTTCCTTTTCAAATTGTGCTTTCCAAAATGTGCTTGACAAAAGTAAATTCCTAGAACCCGAGGACAACTACAAAACCAAAATTTAAAAAGACACATGGATTACCCATCAACCAATGGCTCTCAAGGAAAAAATAAAGCATTTTCTTATAGTGTTTGCCCATTTCCATGGTATAAATATTTCCACTGTGGCTGATTGAAGCTACTGGGCTGTCATCACTGAGTGCAAAGTTAGAAAGCGATGCACGCAACTGTTACAACTGGTACCTGCTGGTTCTAGCACACTACTGCTATCAGGTATGAGCTCAGCACTCTATGAAGTACTATGGGGGTAAGCAAAAAATAATGACAGTCTTTGTCTAGCATTTATTTGGAAGGCAAAATGCCTACTTAATAGGGCATTCTTTCATCCCCTTTTATAGCTAGGGAAAAAGGTAGAAGTGTACAGATAAAATCTAAATAGTAATATCTAAGTAATAATAGTAAATATAAATAGTAATAGTAAAATCTAACTAGTAACAGCAATAGTAAATAGTAATAGTAAAATCTAAGTAGTAGTATCAATATTGCTTCCTCTGGGGAAGCAATAGAGTACTACAAATCAAATTGTAAAGATTTTCATAATTTTGACCCAGTAATTCCACCTGTAGGAATTTATCTAACCAACTAATCCAACTAAAGCAAAAACTAACTATTGGAGGCATTCCTTGCAGTGTTATTTACAAAAGCAAACAAACAAATAAAACACTACAAACTGTCTCAATATCCAACAACAGGTAATGATTACTTTAAGCTTTTGTGGTGAACAGAATAATGACCTTCTCAAACATGTCCATGTCCTAATCCCCAAAATCTGTGAATATGTTACATAACATGACAAGAGGAACTTTGCAGAGATAATTAAAGTTATGAACTTTAAAATAGAGAGATTATCGGCCAGGCACGGTGGCTCATGCCTGTAATCCCAGCACTTCGGGAGGCCAAGCTGGGCGGATCATGAGGTCAGAAGATCGAGACCATCCTGGCTAACACGGTGAAACCCCGTCTCTACTAAAAAATACAAAAAATTAGCCAGGCATGGTGGCGGGCGCCTGTAGTCCCAGCTACTTGGGAGGCTGAGGCAGGAGAATGGTGTTTGGGCGCGGTGGCTCACGCCTGTAATCCCAGCACTTTGGGAGGCCGAGGCGGGCAGATCACGAGGTCAGGAGATCGAGACCATCCTGGCTAACACAGTGAAACCCCGTCTCTACTAAAAATACAAAAAAGTTAGCCGGGCGTGATGGCGGGCACCTGTAGTCCTAGCTACATGGGAGGCTGAGGTAGGAGAATAGCGTGAACCCGGGAGGGGGAGCTTGCAGTGAGCCGAGATCGCGCCACTGAACTCCCGCCTGGGCGACAGAGCGAGATTCCGTCTCAAAAAAAAAAAAAAGAACAAAAAAAAACAAAAACAGAGAGATTGTCCTGGGATTATCCAGATAGACCCAATCTAATATGTGAGACCTTAAAAGCAGAAAATTTTCTCTGGCTGGAGCAGACAAATATGTCAGAGGAGAAACGGGAGGGATTCCAAGTAGGAAGAATTTGATGTACCATTGCTGGTTTTGAGGTGTAGGGACCTGCATGCAAGAACCAGAATGAAGCCACTAGTTCAGGGCTGGCTCCAGCTGACAACTAGAAAGGACACAGTGGACCTCAACTCTACAACAGCACACAACTGAATTCTGCTATAATCTGAATACACATGGAAGCAAATTCCCTCCCAGGGCCTTCAGATAAGAACCCGAGCCACTGACACTTGCTCTCAGCCTTGATAGGTCCAGATTTCTGACCAATAGAACTGTGAGACACTACATTTAAGTTGCTTTAAACCACTAAATTTATGGTAATAATTCTTACAGCAGCAATAGGAACCTAATACAGTACCATTCATCCATTGTAAAGATCTTGTAGTAATACAGAGAGCTCTTTGTGATATGATGGTAAGTGAAAAAACAAAGATTACTACATGAAACCGTTATGACCTCTCACACGAAAAATATATGCACATGGAGAGCAAAACAAAAGGAGAATACACAAAGATGGAAATAATTAGAATTTGGAGTGGGATACTTCTTTCCTTATGGGTCTAAGCACCATTGCTTTGAAGAACTTGCATAGGTCTCCCTGCCCAGAGGATTTTCATTTTTTTTCCCAGAGAACTGGCATTCCTCAAGAGGACCGAGGCATTTCAGAGCTGCAGCTGAATCACTGACATCATCTCTCCATGTGCAGAAACAATGACAGAATCAATGGAGAGAATCTGCTCAATGCTACATTGTTCTATGATCTTTTCTTTCTTAAACCTATGGCACCTGCTATCACCCAGCAAACACAGGTGCCAAATAAGTCTACAAGTTCAAATGAATATGAAAGGAAAAATTGGAAGAGGATGATCAGGTTGCTCTTGGCAATTCTTTTCTTCATTTGCAGCTGTGATTTTTCTAGTGTCTGCGGATTATGTTGTGTGACCCAGCAGCTTGCCTTGGAATCCTGATTGCCACACAAACACTGGTGAGGTCCTTCACCCTGGAATGGTGGATGCAAACTGTTTTGGGAATGTTATGTTCCCAGGTGAATAGAATTGAGTCTAATAAAAGGGAAATTTTTCTTTACACAAAATAGTTGAAAGATCACATGTGCTTATTGGTACAGTATATCCAAAATGAGGAAGCCAAATACTGTCTGCTACTGGGATCCAGTGCAGGCTTCCTGGAAGTGGCCAGTTACACTTCCAAACCACACTTTGAAGTGATGTCAGCAAATCACTCATATCCAGAATAGCGTAGTCAGGAAAGTAAAAATTAACAACTTATGATGGGCAAGGCACTATTCCCGGTACTTGGCTTATTGCATTGACACCCCCATTGTACTGATGAAAAAACTCACGCCTGTAATCCCAGCACTTTGGGAGGCCGAGATGGGTGGATCATCTGAGGTCAGGAGTTCAAGACCAGCCTGGCCAACATGGTGAAACTCTGTCTCTACTAAAAATACAAAAATTAGCCAGGCATAGTGGTGGGCGCTTGTAATTCCAGCTACTCAGGGGGCTGAGGCAGGAGAATTGCTTGAGCCCAGGAGGTGGAGATTGCGGTGAGCCAATATCACACCACTGCACTCCAGCCTGGGTGACGAGAGCGAAACTCTGTCTCAAAAAAAAAGGGGCCGGGTGCGGTGGCTCACACCTGTAATCCCAGAACTTTGGGAGGCTGAGGCGGGCAGATCACCTGAGATTGGAAGTTCGAAACCAGACTGACCAACATGGAGAAACCCTGTCTCTATTAAAAATACAAAATTAGCCAGGCATGGTGGTGGCATGCCTGTAATCCCAGCTACTCCAGAGACTGAGCCAGGAGAATCGCTTAAACCCTGGAGGTGGAGGTTGCAGTGAGCCAAGGTCATGCCACTGCACTCCAGCCTGGGCAACAAGAGTGAAACTCCTTTTCAAAAAAAAAAAAAACAACAAAAAACAAACAAACAAAAAAACCAGAGAGAGAAAAAAGAAAGAAAAAGCTGAGACATAGAGAAGTGACTTAGCCAGTCACTCACAGCTTTCTTCACAGGGTTCTGTCTCTGTCTGGTATTTCCATTGCATTATGTTACTTTTCAAGTGAGGGGCCAGGAAATCAAGTCATCTAAGACATGATTCAGCACATGGGGGATGCTTAATGTGGAGAAAGGACACCAAAAAGTCACAGAAAGTGGCCTCAGATTTTAGAAGGGCTGTAACAAGGAGAAACAGGCAGAACTCTTCTGTGTGGCTCTAGAAAACTAATAATGATTGGGTGATAGGGCTGGGGAAGTAGAAGTAATGAGAAAGAAAAATACCTCCTAGCAATGACAGCTAATCAAAAATGCAAGCAGTGAAGGCCTGAGTTCCCAGTTGGTGGCTGGGTCAGTCAAGCAGAGACTGCACCTGCAGCTCTTAGGGCTGCCTCATAGGAGGTGGATTTCTGTGTTAAGTAAGAGGCTTTTCCCACCTCAAAGATGCTGTGAGCTGGCAATTTGTGATTCCTCATTATTTCTATAATTTAAAGGAAAGAAAAGTAACATTTCTTAAGATCTGCTTTATTTCGAGTAACATGCCAGAATCTCATTGTATGTCATCACTTCTCATCCTCACTATACCTGACTCTTACCTTGCCAGATGAGTGGCAAGGCAGACCTCACTCATCTCTATGTCTACAGATTTAAGTGAATTGCAATCAATATTTGCAATGCCTATTTCGATGGCAAGTGTCAAACAAAGAGAATTGAGCACTGAAGCAATGGTTCTTTTCACCAGCTTTCCTAAATGACCTGTGTCCTGGCTGATGCTCAATGCAGAGCCATTCTCTCTTCCAAGAGAACATCTGCTGAACCCAGCAGGGGGACAAAGAGAGGGAGAGAAAGAAGCCAAGATGTAAGAATTATTTTTTTCTAATCTGGGGGATAGAGATATTGAAGTTTTCTTTTTGTTTGTGTTTTGAGAATTTGTATTTTATTTTTGTTTGTGTGTCAATTAATTGATTGCCCAAGATAGGAGTCATCTTCCCCAATAGGCAGGTCATGCTCTGGCCCAAAGGACACAGAGGGATACAGAGTTACAGAATTTCCATGACAATTCTGCTCTCTCTGGCAGGCTGTCAGACCCTTAGCCTGGTTCCCCTTCCTGTCTTCAGCCTGCAGATGCAGCCAGATGGCCAAAGAAAATGGAGAGAAAGCATCTGTGTAGAAAACACTTCTGTCCAAATGTGCAGAGTCATGCGAAAGCAGAGAATGGGGACAGACAGAAAAGAAAGGGAGAGGTAGAAAGAGAGGAGAAAGAGAGAAACTATAGTAGTGGGAAGACAGGGAGAGAAAAGAATGAGATGGCAATGGGAAGGGAGGAGAGAGCAACAGGAGATAAACAAGGATGCCAACCACAGAAGGGGCTAGGGATCAAATGGACAGGGAGAAGCATGGAAATCAAGATAAGGGGAAACCCAAACTAGTAGGAAGTGACAACAGGAGTCTTTGAGGAGAGCCAGGGCTCTGGAAATTAAGGGGAGGTACAGCAGAAAATTTAGAGGAAAGAGGAAGAAGCAAAAGAAACTTACCGAGTGCATGTCACAGGTACTATCTTACTTTATCCTCACTCTAGTCCCATGTGGTAGAGAAAACAAGGCACAGTTATTAAGTCTTGTGTTCAAAATTAGACTACACAGTAGGAACATGAACCAGGGAGTTGGAATTCCAAGTCCAGACTCTGCCACTCCACTGCCCTCCTTCCAAGCATTCTTTCAGGGAGAGGAACCAGTGAAAACCTGAACTCTTGGGAAGGACCCATGTCTCAGTCTGTCCACCAATCCTCCCCCTTAAGTCCAGGATTTCTCCCTGGGACCAGATGGACCTGCCACAAAGGCTGGTGTGAAGAGGTTCTCCTAGCATTTCACTTCTAGGCACCCTTCACCAGAGCTTTCAACTTCTCCATTTAAACCCAGCACCTGATGAGAAAAGCATTACAAGTGAGCAGACTGCTTGCTTCATTTTGCACCTGAGCAGTCCAATTCCTGTTTAGTCAAAGTGGCAAGCATTACTGGCCACTGAGTTTTATCCTGGCCTTTGTCCTCAACTCAATAAGTCATTTTGTCTAAGCTGGGGACCCCCTTGCTCATGCAAGAGGGTGAGATTGCTACATGGGTACCTCCTTTTATTGAGCATCTGCTAAGTGCCTGGCATGGTCTCATTTAAAACTCAGAAGTTTCTTGTAAGGTATTCACTGTTATTTTCTACACTTTAGATATCAGATAAGAAATTAAGGCTTAGAAAGTTCAAATTACCTGCCCAGGGGGCTTATCATCCAAATGGAGTGATCCCTCCATGTTACTCTAAATTGGACAAAGCAGTAGAGGGTAACTGCTTTTACCTGATGAGCAGATTCTAAAGGATTTACGCAAAGAACAGTTGTATTCCTTTCCATCGTTGTCCATTAATAAGCCTCATTGAGTTCTTTCCCTCCGTTGGAATGGAACACTCAGATTGGTCTCATAACTTTTCCAGACACTCTCCCTAGATAGTAAGTCTTCCAGTCTCTTTAGTTTACAAAACAGTGTTTTGTTTTTTGTTTGTTTGTTTTGAGATGGAGTCTCACTCTGTCACCCAGGCTGCAGTGCAATGGTGTGACCTCGTCTCACTGCAACCTCTACCTCCTGGATTCAAGTGATTCTCCTGCCTCAGCCTCCCAAGCAGCTGGGATTATAGGCGCATGCCACCAAGCCCAGCTAATTTTTGTATTTTTAGTAGAGACTGGGTTTCGCCATGTTAGCCCGGCCGGTCTTGAACTCCTGACCTCAAGCAAAACTCTCATTTTAATAATTAAAAAGTTTTATTTAGAATAATAACCAACTTTACAGCCAAGTCTAATGTAAAATCTCTCCCCTCTACCTGAAGTTCAGGCCTGCTTCTGCAGAGGACACCTATAATGGGAAAGGGACACAGTTGCCTTCTCTTGTCATTCTGGCACCAGGCAAGGGGACTTCAGCCCTATCATTTCTACACCAGTGGAAGTCACATACCGGCCTCCCATTGAAGGAACACACACTGTGCCGTCCACGGGCTATCTCTGAAGCCACGCTTATTGGCTGAGGTCTACAATGCCAGCAGTCTCTTAGCATATGCTGCATGGATGACCCCTGGCTTTAAGATACTTGATGCCTATTACCTACCCAGCACAGAGACTGAAGAGTTCTACTTTCACATCTGTTGTATAAGCACTGAAAAGTACTGAAAGACATCCAGCTTTGAAGACATGACATTCATGACTGTAACAATATTATCCATTAGGCAAGTCTGTCATGATTCTACTTAATAAAAATTAGAGCTCATGACCAAATAAGAGCTGGCATATTCCTCCATAGGAAGATACATGTATGGACCACTTGATAAGAGCACTGATTCAAGGCCCAGAGGATCAAGATAAATTTCTTACTAATTCTCAGGCCCCGAGACAGGCCTGAGAATTAACAAGAAATTGGTTGTACTCATTCCAGCGCTTTCCAGGACAAAGATCACTTCAGCCAATGGACCTCAAGGATTATGGCCCCAGTCTCAGGGCTAGCCACATTGGGTGTTGAGGTTGCGGGGAATGAATGCATCAGGCTATCTTAGCTAAAGAAAATATCTTAAAATCACCCATCCAACCATCCTTGCTCTCCGATGTCATGCTCAACAAGTAGACTTCTGATTATTTACTTATCCATCATCTCATTCCAAAACAGTAGTCAGCAATATGGCTGACCAAAAAAAAAAAATTTTTTTTTCAAAGAGCACAACAATGTGTTTCATTCTGCAGTGGTAACTTAGGTAAGCTGGAACTAGATTTCTCAGAATCCCCTTCACTGTATGGTTCCAGGAGAAATTTGACCAGAAGAGGAACTTGCATGGGATGTGGAAGCCCAAGGTGAAGCAGCAGCTATCAATTTCAGAGGTTAGTCATCACCAGATACGCTAGCAAACAGGTGCCCCGAAGACACCCACCCATTCTTACTCTCCTTGGCTAAGCATCCACCTCTTTTGCATCTTGTGGCCCCAGGCTCACCAAAGATGTTTGGCTGCAGATGCACAGAGGTGGTGGCTGCATAG
The DNA here is from genome assembly GCF_000001405.40 of Homo sapiens. Lineage (NCBI taxonomy): Eukaryota > Metazoa > Chordata > Mammalia > Primates > Hominidae > Homo > Homo sapiens. The sequence continues at coordinate 107,902,553 of NC_000009.12, read as the reverse complement.
AGGCAACAGTTCCCATCACCCACACCACACTCACAGCATACATAAGACAGAGGTGGTTAGCCAGATAACAGGAATACCATGACTGGAGAAAAACACAGGGTTCCAAGTTTATGAAAACACAGAAAGAAGAGCCATTCTTGATTAGATGTAGAATGCCATAGATATTTTTCAGAGTATTCAGAGGAAAAAGACTTTAGGAATACTGAAATGGGCTGAAAGCATATATCCCCCCATCTCTGAATTCATATTCTGAAATCTAATCCCTAATATGATGGTATCAGGAGATGGGGCCTTTGGGAGGCGATTAGGTGATGAGGGTGGAGCCCTCATGAATGGGAGCAGTTCCATTATAAAAGAATCTCCAGTGTGATCCCTCACCCCTTCTACTGTGTGAGGACATGGGGACACAGAGAGAAGATGACAAGGAAACGGGTCCTCACCAGACACCCAATCTGTTGGTGTCTTGATCTTGGACTTCCCAGCCTCCAGAACTATCAGAAATAAATTTCTGTTGTTTACAAGCCACATAGTTATGGTCTTTTGTTAAAGAAGTCTGAATGGACTCAGGAAAATGCTATTTATAACCGTTCTAGTATTTGGAGTGAATTGTGAGCAGATGCATTAGTAAAGCTGCCAATTTGCTAAAGTTAATAATAAAGATCCTAACACAAAGGCAGTGTACACACAATATAATAAGAATGATGAGGCTCACAGAGGAGGGCCAACCAGCTTTGTGCAACAAAGAAGGAAAACTTGCATGCAACCTGTATAAATTCTAAACATCTAGGCTTACCTGGTTAAGACTTTTTATCCATCCCTTACTGAGGAAGAATTTGGAAAACAGTATTTAAACCTCATTTTAAAAATGATGCACATATGTCTATCACGTGCAAGAAGAAGCACAATGCAGTGACTAGCTGCATGGATTCTCGGGCAGATTTCCTGGGTTCAGAGGCCACCTCTGCCACTCATGAGCTATGTAAAATCAAATGCTCTGTGCCTCAGTTTCCTCATCTGCAAAATGAGGACATAATATTCATATCTCATAGAGACGTTTTGAAGATTAAGTTAATATCTATAAAGCACTTGGGAGAGTTCTTGGCAAGTAGCAAGTGCTATATAGGTCTGTTTGTTCTAGACAAACGTATTTAGTTTTCATTCCACAGTGTGAATCCAACCTTCCTCATGACAACGTTGCTTCTGTCTTCCCAGGTGTAGTTAGAGCCTCTTCTCCACCTCCACACCTAAGATTGTTACAAAGAGGTTTTGCCCTACTCACAATTACTTGCAGGGGATGGCGCTGAGGAAAAGCAAACCCAGGAGAGCAACCACCTTACACAATTCTGCTTTGTAAGTGCTGATCCCCATCCTTCTTGGTTGGAGTTAAGTTCAAGTGGAAATACTAAGTATCTCCAAATAATCTCTCTGGATGTTCTGCCAAGGCCTAGTTTATAAGATCTCTTCTTTTGTCCTGCTAGTATGTTCCACAACTTGCTCCCACACAGTTAGCAGGTATTGCCGGCACATTGCTGCCACTTGCTGTCTATCTCCCTGCCTGTTCCCCTGGGAATCTCAGTAAATCAATCCACCTTCCCTTTCCTGCTGTGAGGCATGGGCAGACTACTCCTCTTGGCTTGGGAATATCTGTCTTCACTTTATATTCTGTCACCCAGGCTGGGATGCATTGTTGCGATCTTAGTTCACTGTAACCTCAAACTCCAGGGCTCAAGCATCCTCCAGCCTCAGCCTCCTGAGTAGCTGGGACAAAAAGTGTGAGCCACTGCCCCCAGGCTGTTTTCACTTTATGATCCCATCCTTGTTGCCTTAACATCCTTTCTCTGTCACCATAGCAGAAGATGCTATGCCTTCCAAGCCGCAAGGATGCTCGCCCACCACCTTGGTCTCTCTGATTTGTATTAAGTTCTGCAGGAAAGTGCAGAGGTGGTTAAGCCATAATGAATGTGTAATCAGAGAGGCCCTGCCCTTCCCTCAGCCCACCACCCCTTGGCAAGCCCACTACCATGGCACTGTGCACCCACAGTGGTATTTGGAAAGAAAGGGGAAGAAGGAGGGGATGCAGGTCACATTTTCACTCATCTCCTTGTCACAGAAAAGCAGCTGGAGGTTGTCAGAGTTCCCATGTGACAACTTTAATTTTACAAATTTGCTAAAATCACACTCTGACATGTACTCATTTGCAAGTTTGAGATGCCCTCTTCATGGCACTGCTCTTCTCAGAGCCCTAATTGATGAAGACACTTGGTCCTAGATGAATTCACTGAGCACCTACTTCACCAAGCCTTGACATGGCACTGTGGAGATGGGCACAGAACAACCACAGGACAACCTGTTCGATGCTATAGGGTGGTGCCCAGCATGATGGGAAGTGGAAGGAGCCAGTGTCTGCTGGATTCAGGGGGGGCTTCCCAGTTGGGGCAGCAGATGAAGGTACCCAAGGGGCTTCCAAGAAGAGATTCCCAGGAGGCTGGTGGATCTATCAGCTTGCTGCTCCATGAAGAGGTCTTGGCTGGATAGAAAGATGAGGGAGTTATCTGCATGATGATAGCCATTGGAATTAGAGGAACTGAAGGCCTGGGCAACTTTAGTCAAAATGAGAGGAGAAGATGGCTGGGCATGGGGGTTGTTGGGGGAGATCCTTGAGTCCAAACACAATAGTGCCCAAGAGATGTCTGTGGAGTGATCACGGGCATGCTTGACAATGGTCGGAAGGAGAGCTCACAGGGGAAGCCAAGGCCCTGCTGGGTGTCTCATCACTTCTCATGAGCCCAGCCTGGGACAGGACATGGCCTATTCCCCTCAGGCTGCCCTGTAGCCAGCCCCTTTCCCTGGGCAGTGACAATGGCTCGGAGCCAGGCACCCCCATTAGCTCTCCCTGCACTCCCTTTTCAGATTCTCCACCATCTAAAAATGTACTGTCCGTCACACACACACACACACACACACACACACACACACACACACACAGAGTTTGGCCTCGGGTTTGGCCCTGTGACAGGAACCTCTGTACCTTGATCCCTGCGCTCCAGTGGAGCTCAGAGCTCAGCTCTTCCCAGAACTTCAGAGAGAAAAAGAACAATTTCACCCCAAGCCACCCCTTGAGACTTAATTCCTTGTCACAGAAAAGAGAAAGAGCAGGCTCAGGCTCTCTAGGGAGTCTGTTCTCCCACCCACCCCGCCAGGCTGTGGCCCCCAGGGGTAGGAAACTTCACCATTTATCCCTGGATCCCCAGGGTTCAACAGGAATGCTCAATGGATGCGAAGTAGGAGCTCTCTGCTATTGGTAACCACAGTGATAGAACGATACAAATTGTGAGCTTCACAGACAATGAGGATGTGGGAATTGGGGAACTATGCCCCGTTCCCCAATAAAATGACTTTTTTTTTTTCCTGGAGTGACTTTGGAGATACATTTGCAGTATGTGACACTTAAAACAGAACACTCGAAGAGTATAAATATTAACACACACCTGCCTTTCCAAGGACATAAAATAGCTTTTAGAATGACACAAAGCCTCCTTTCTGTGCATATTTTGCTCCATAGAGAGCTTCCTAAATGAGCTGATGAATCGAGGTCCAGATATTCTGTCATGTGGCTTAACCACCTTTTTATTTTTTTCTTCCATCTACCCTGATTAAAGCTGAAACATTCCAGGGAAACTTGCTTTCCAAAACTTACACTTCTCCAGAGAGGCAGCTTGCTTTCAAATCCACTGTAAAGCTTGCTTTCAAATCCACTGTAAAGATATCACTTAAAAAATAAAATAAAATAAAATTGAACCAAACGCTCCTGGCGTCTAATCTGACTACAAATTGAAAACTATACTGGTGTTTACGTGGTTTTGGATTTTATTAGGAAAGAGTTGCCCAGCATTAAAAACATGATGTTTAGCTGGAATGGAATTCCAACTCCCCATCTTTCTAGACTCTGGGGAAATGAGAACACCCTGTTTATGCTCTGGGCTGCCATAGGCTCATTCAAGGAGGAGGTGCCTAATGAGGGGGCCCCAGTGAGAATCACAGCTGCCATAAATTTGACATCATGAATTTACATACATAAAACCTAGGTGGTTTCCTACAACCCCTGTTACATAGATATTATCAATCCCACTGTACAGATAAGGAAACTGAGGCTCAGATAAACTAAGTTTCTTGCCTAATAAGACCACATAGGCAGTAAGCAAGGGAAAAAGAATTTACATCTCAATTTGTCTTCACTCATTTGTTAGATGCTTTGATTCATGCAAATTGCTCAGTGGTTCTCAGCTGTGGGGAAGAGGTAAGATTTTGCTTCCTCAGGGGACATTTGACCATGTCGGCAGATATCTATGATTTTTATAACGTCAGGGTTGGGGGGTGAGTTGCAGGTGCTACTGACATTTAATAGGTAGAGGCCAGGTATTAAGCTAAATAACATACGTTGTAGGCCGGGCGCAGTGGCTCACGTCTGTAATCCCAGCACTTTGAGAGGCAGAGGCAGGTGGATTGCTTGAGCTCAGGAGTTCAAGACCAGCCTGGGCAACATGGCGAAACCCTGTCTCTACAAAAAAATAGAAAAATTAGCTAGGCATGGTGGTGTGTGTCTGTAGTCCCAGCTACTCAGGAGGGTGAGGCAGGAGAATTGCTTGACCCCAGGAGGCAGAAGTTGCAGTGAGCCGAGATAGCGAGATAGCGCCACTGCACTCGAGCCTGGACAACGGAGTGAAACCCTGTCTCAAAAATAAATAAATCTCATACATTGTGAAGGATAGTCCCCTACAACAAAGTATCTGGCCCTAAATGTTAATAGTACCAAAACTGGAACCCTGAACATCACTGAACTCTAAGTGCCAGATGAACTTCCCAATGTGTGATTTTTTTTTAATTTTTATTTTTAAAGTTCCAGGGTACATGTGCAGGAGTGATATTTACTTATTTATTTATCTATTTTTTTTTTTTAGGCAGAGTCTCTGTCACCCAGGCTGGAGTGCAATGGCACAATCTCAGCTCACTGCAACCTCTGCCCCCTGGGTTCAAGCGATTCTCCTGCCTCAGCCTCCTGAGTAGCTGGGATTACAGGTGTGCGCCACCATGTCTGGCTAATTTTTCTATTTTTAGTAGAGATGGGGTTTCACCATGTTGGCCAGGCTGGTCTCGAACCCCTGACCTCAAGTGATCTGCCCCCCTCAGCCTCCCAAAGTGCTGGGATTGTAGGCGTGAGCCACTGCGCCCAGCCTAGGAGTGATATTTTTGAAGGACACATACCGATTCTTGTTCTCACAGTCACACCAAGAAAATGAGAATTGCTTGATTGTAGACAAGTTCTGTCATCAATGGAAAACATTACTTACATTTCCTTAAAAATTGTTTAAGGCAGAGGTGGTTAATTTAGATTAAAATATTTTAAGTAGAAATAATTAGAAAATGTTATTTTCCTTTCTCTGTATCAGGACAGAAACTTATAATTCTGGCGACAATGTCATAGATGTCACAGAGCTTAGCCCCAAAGGGTAAGACTGCCCTCTGGAAATTTTCTGGGGAGACCCCTTGAGGGGCAATGAGAAGTCAGGACCACTGATTCACAGTGTCACATTGAGGATGTCTGCAACTGAGTGAGAGAGGGTGAAAGTTTTCAAATGCTTCTTACTGGGATCACCTTTCAGAGGTCCCTGAAGCCAGAGCTTGATGAATTTGGGTATTTTGCAGGAGTGGGGTTGAGTGATTTATTTTAAAAAAGTGAGTAAGAATAGAATCATTGGAACCACATCCAAGAAGTTTCCAGAAATAAGAGATGTAAACAACAGGTGAGGAGCCAATAAATCATGGAAGTGGATAGAAAGGGAGAGAGAGGCAAGAATGAAACAAGAGCTTGATGTGAACATGGCCGAGGCTTGTTGTGTGCTGATTTTAGAGGCACCAGGTGAGATAAACATCAGATGAATAAAAGATAATCCTGCTTTGACTCTGCAGAAGGGTCTAGCAGGTGTCCTCCCTAAAACCCTGGCCTTCTCTGTAATCTGAAGGAGAAAGATCACCACAGTATGAGGCAGAATCCTCATACTGAACACAGAATCAAAGAACAAAGCGTGGCATTGTTCTTTGCCACGCTGCCCAGGGGTATTAGTTCATTTTCATACTGCTATGAAGAAATACCCGAGACTGGGTAATCAATAAAGAAAAAGAGGTCTAATGAATTCACAGTTCCACATGGCTGGGGAGGCCTCACAATCATGGCGGAAGGCAAAGGAAGAGAAAAGGCATGTCTGACATGGCGGCAGGCAAGACAGCATGTGCAGAGGAACTGCCCTTTATAAAAACATCAGATCTCATGAGACTTATTCACTATCATGAGAACAGCATGGGAAAAAACCCACCCCCATGATTCAATTACCTCCCACTGGGTCCCTCCCATGACATGTGGGGATTATGGAAGCTACAGTTCAAGATGAGATTTGGATGGGGACACAGCCAAACCATATCACCAGGCATGGTCATTATAGGGAGAAATGCACCCACGTGTTCACACTCACACAGCTTTGGTGAGCACTCCAGCTGTGAAAAGGTCAGTCTTCAGCTTCATGCCTACCCGTGTGGAGGCCATGTACTGAATGCAGGCCTCTGAATGCAATACCGAATCAACACTGAACTGAATGCAATACTGAAAGGACATGATGTGTCAGAGGCCGTGCATGCACAGACTCAACAAGGTGCACTCCAACCCACGCAGGGCTTGCAGACCCTGGGCAGCAGCCAGTCTGTGCCACACTGTACTTAGCCTGTGCTCTCCAATTTCATCATTTCTGGCTCAAACTGGGCCTGCAATTTTCATTTCTTTATAGGCTTAAGTAATCTATTGCAAATGTCACCAGCAGGCTGTAACGCATTCTTGCCGAGGAAACTGTTCTTTTTCTTCAGCAACTTTCTGGTGGAGGATTTGCTGGGCCGGGCAACTGTTTTACATTAGCTATAATGGTGTTTACATTGGATGCACCGATGTTTAAATCATTGGACATATTTGTTACTAGTAGGAAGGCAGTGGCATTGTTTAGTCCAAGTATGTGGGGTGGGGGAAATTTCTATTAGTATTGATAATATTTTACAAGAGGCCTTGTAGGAATGTTTATAATAATAGCAATGCTGTTTATCTTAACGGGATTATAATGAAGCAACTTTAATTGTATTCATATTAAACATATCAATGTTAGAACTGATGTAATATGTTTAGCATGAATATGAAGGTTGCTAAGTTGGGGGGTTTTGAGATAGAATTAAAGGGCCAGGAAGACAATGGGACATATGGAAAGCATTTCGGGGGTTTCTGTTCTTGTCTAACAAGAAGGATTAGTGTGTTTGCAAAAATACAGTATAAGATGTACGGTGGGTTGTGATGCTAGCATCTGTTTTCCTTACGATAGAGTTCTCTTGGCTTGTGTGTGTGCATGCGCATTTGCTCTCCATTCACCGCATTCTCCCAAAGCCCAAATGTCAGGGATACTTTAGATGCTTTGCAGCTGGCTGACGCACCCAGAGCTGTTTCAAAATGGATTTTGTTATGGCGTATGAGTCCTACATTGTGCATGGGCGGTTATCGAGTGTGATATAGTGTGCACAAGAATGTTCCCAATTCCCTCCTTGCCGTATCCATCAATCTGGCTCTATTAGGGTTGGCAGGATAATGGCTGGACTGAGGCTCTGGACTTTATCTTCAGCTGAAAGAAGTGTCCTAATTATCGACTCATCAGTGCTACCCCAACTCCTGGCTCTGGGAGACCACTGCCAGCTCAGGCCCAGAAATTCTAAATCCTCACAGTCACCAGCCAGGCACATGAAGACTGAGATGCAAGATTATGTCCAGCCCAGCTGAGGAATCACAGCCCTAACAAATCTTGGAAATCAATCTGACTATCCAGTTAGAGGCATTGCTCCAATTTAACCCATCAAGGCTGAGTTTCCTGATTCTTCCCTTCCAGCCCAGTTCAATTCTCCCTGGGTCCCAATGACTTCCTGAAGCTGTATGGGAGAGGCTGGGACCTAGCTCAGGCATGTCAGAAGCCCTGGTTTTCTGTAACATGGGAATAATAACTGCACCACCTCCTTTCTAAGTCCATTGGGAGGATTAAATGAGGGACCACACCTAGCAGAGTAGCTGAAACACATCATGCACTTATTACAGTACTCCCCCATAATCCTCAGAAGATATGTTCCAAGACCCCCAGTGGATGACTGAAACCTGTATATACTGTGCACACATTTCTTTTTCCTCCTTCACAATTATACAGATAGAAGTCCTGTTTTTACCGTAGATCTTAGCAACCTCAACATACAATTTTTTTTCTTTCTCTATTGAGAACTTTCAGCATTTCCCTTAAAGGAAGTTCTTTACAGCTTCTCTTTGTCATATCCAAATTGCCAACATCACTTGCCCTTTGGGGACATTATTAAGTAAAATAAGGTTTGCATGAACCCAAGCACTGTGATGCCTCAACAGGTGATCTGATAACAAATACAGCTCCTAAGTGGCTCATAGCAGGGTAGTGTCCATACCATGTATATGCTGGACAAAGGGATGATTTGCATCCCAGGCAGGACAGAACAGGATGGCATGAAATTTCATCACACTACTCTGAACAGTGCACAATTTAAAACTTACCAATTGCCTATTTCTGGAATTTTCCATTTAATATTTTCAGACTCAGGTAGCCAAAATTGCAGAAAGCAAAACTATGGAAAAGAAGGGACTACTATATTGGCTAAATTAGAAAATGTAGTGGAGCGTCATGGTTTTATAGGAAATGAGTGGTTTAGTTGATGGAGACATCACTAATCTCTAGTAGAACACTCAAATAAAATTTATAAAGAATTTCTCCTTTGCAAAATACTTTTCATCAATATTGTCCTATATGCTTGTATGCTTATCATTGTTTTTGTCTCTATCTCATTTTATTTTTATCTTTTTTGAGACGGAATCTCGCTCTGTCACCCAGTTTGCAGTGCAGTGGCATGATCTCGGCTCACTGCAACCTCCGCCTCCCAGGTTCAAGCAATTCTTCTGCCTCAGCCTCCCAAGTAGCTGGGACTACAGGCAAGTGCCACCACATCTGGCTAATTTTTGTATTTTTAGTAGAGACAGGGTTTCACCATACTGGCCAGGCTGGTCTTGAACTCATGACCTCGTGATCCACCTGCCTTGGCCTCCCAAAGTGCTGGGATTACAGGCGTGAGCCACCATGCCCAGCTACTTTTATTTTTTAAATGGGAGTTCACTATGAACTCCCAGGCTGGTTCACTATGCACAGCTGGTCTTGGACTCCTAGCCTCAAGTGATCCTCCCAACTTGGCCTCCCAAAGTGCTGGAATTATAGGCATAAGTGACCATGCCGGATCCTTTTCCCCATTTTATCGATGAAGAAGCTAAGCCTCAGATAGATGAAATGATTTGCCCACCTGCTTATAGATGATTTTTCTGAATTCCTATGTGCTGGCTACTCAAGCTTTAAGGGATAAGGGTCCCCATCCTACTGTGGTTAACAATTGGCTGACACAGGATTGGACACACAGGTTCTCTAGCTCTATGTGTCATTCCCTTTCTAAGCCACCATGCTGCTTCCCTTCCAGAAAGCACCCCATAGGTATGCAAATGTGGGAGGGGTTTAGGGTGGAGCACATGCATAAATAACTACAGCAGACCCTCGAACAACATGGGTTTAAACTGCATAGGTCCACTTACATGTGGATTTTCTTCTACCTCTGCCATCTCTAAGACAGCAAGATCAACCCCTTCTCTTCCTTCTCTTCCCCAGCCTAATTAATATGAAGACATTGAGAATAAATACATTTATGATGATCCACTTCCACTTAAGAAATAAATACATTCTCTTCTTTATGATCCTTTTTTTTTTTTTTTTTTTTGAGACTGAGTATTGCTCTGTCACTCAGGCTGGAGTACAGTGGCACAATCTTGGTTCACTGCAACTTCTGCCTCCTGGGTTCAGGCGAGCACGTCTGGCTAATTTTTGCATTTTTAATGGAGATGGGGTTTCACCATGTTGGCCAGGCTGGTATTGAGCTCCTGTCCTCAAGTAATACACTTTGGACTGCAAAAGTGCTAGGATTACAGGAGTGAGCCACCAGGCCCAGCCTCTTCTTTATGATTCTTAATAACATTTTATTTTCTCTAGCTTACTTTGGAATTAAGAATGTGATATATAATAATGTAACATACAAAATAGATATTAATTTACTGATTAAGTTACCAAAAAGGCTTCTGGTCAATAGTAGGCTATTAGCAGTTAAGTTTTTAGAGACTCAAAAATTATATGGGAATTTTCAACTGTGTGGCGATTCGGTGCCCCTAGCCTCTGTGTTGTTCAAAGGTCAACGATATAATGTAAAGAACTTAGGAGCCATGAGAGATGATGTGGTGAGATCTGAGAAAAGGAAGAGATAACAGCCAGGGATGCAAATGCCTCATGGAGGAGATGGAATTTCAGCTGTGCTTGGGAAATCAATAGGATTCAAACATGCAAAGGGAGAGAAGGGCATTCTAGGAAGAGGGAACAGAGTGAGCAAAGGTATAGGGACAGGAAAGCAGTAGGAACATGAGAGGTATTGCAGGTGGTTGCCTTTGAACCCCAGTGATGGGTATGGAAAGAGATGGAGTGTCAGGTCCCACTGAGTCCTGGATGTGTGGCAGATCAAAGCAAGCTGAGGAATTTGGTTTTGCTCTTTAAGAAATTGAGAGCTGGCCGGGCGCAGTGGCTCACGCCTGTAATCCCAGCACTTTGGGAGGCCGAGGCGGGTGGATCACGAGGTCAGGAGTTCAAGACCAGCCTGGCCAAGATGATGAAACCCCATCTCTACTAAAAAAAAAATTAGCTGGGCGTGGTGGCATGCGCCTGTAATCCCAGCTACTCTGGAGACTGAGGCAGAGAATTGCTTAAACTTGGAGGGGCGGAGCTTGCAGTGAGCCGAGATCGCGCCACTGCACTCCAGCCTGGGCAACAGAGCAAGACTCCATCGAAAAAAAAAAAAGAAAAAAGAAAAAAAAAGAAACGGAGAGCCAAGAAAGGTTTTAGAGTAGGAGCATGACTTCCATGATTAGAGCTATGTTTTCAGAAAATTAAACTGAAAGCTTTGAATGAAGTGCATGGGAGGAAGAAGGGCAGCCTGACCAATGGCACAGTCATCCAGGCAAAGGTAATGGAGGCCTAACAAGGTTGACAGGGGTAGAAAGGGGCAGAGAATATGCATTCCAGGGAGATGAGAAAAGAAAACTGTGACCACAGATGACTGCTCCCTTGCTCCTTGGAGTCTCGGAGGGGCATTGGCTGCAGCTCTAATGAGAGAGGCTGAAGGAGCAAGCAATGTGTCAGCAAGCTTCAGCCCAAGCATGTTTTCCAAGCATTTCTGTATCTCACTTGGATCTATGCTTTGGAGATTGTATTAGTTTTCTAGGGCTGCCATAACAAAATATCATCAACTGGATGGCTTAAACAATGGTAATTATTTTCTCACAGCGCTGGAGGCTACAAGTCTGAGAACAAGGTGTCGGCAAGGTTGCTTCATTCTGTGACCTCTCTCTGTGGCTTGTAGATAGCTGTTGCTATGGTTTTTATTTGTATACCTCTCCCACCCCCAATTCATATGCTGAAATCCTAATTTTCAAGGTGATGGTATTTGGAAGTGGAGACTTTGGAAAGTGACTAGGTTATGAGGGTGGAGCCCTTGTGAATGGGATTAGTGCCCTTGTAAAAGAGGCTCCAGAGAGACTTCTCATCCTTTCTACTACATGAAGCCACAGCAAGAAGGTGTTGTCAGTGAACTAGAAAGTGGGCCCTCACGAGACACTGAATCTGCTGATGCCTTGATCTTGGACTTCCCAGCCTCCAGAAATGTGAGAAATAAATTTCTGCTGTAAATACCAGTCTATGGTATTTTGTTATAGCAGCCCAAAGGGACCAAGATAGCCATCTTCTTCCTATGTCTTCACACGGTCTTCCCTTTGTACCTGTGTCCAAATTCTCTCTTCTTGTAAGGACACCAATCATATTGAATTGGAGCCCACCCTAATGGACTTATTTTAACTTAATTACCTCTTTAAAGACTCTGTCTCCAAATACAGTCACATTCTGAGAAACTGAGGGTTAGGGCTTCAACATATAAATGTTAGGGGGCCACCATTCAACCTATAACAGAGGAGTTTACAGTTCCATCCTCAACATAGTTCATTTCATATAAACCCACCCCAAGCTAGAGTAAAATAAAGCAACTTCCCAGGCTTTCCTCAATGGCTTAAGGACTCATCTACCAGCAGCAGGAAGAGATAGTAGTAGACAGAAAGTGGGCTCCAGAGCCAGACTGCCTGGGTTCCAATCTCAGCTATTCCATTTATTAACTATGTGACTCTTCAAGGATTACTTTTCTTTCTTTGCCCAAGTTTTCTCATCTGTGAAATGGGATTAATAGTAATAGTCATCTCATAAGTTTGTTATGAGGATTAACTGGGTAAATACAGTTGACTTTCAGTATCCATTGGTTCTGTATCCCCGGATTGAACCATCTGCAGATCAAAAATATTTGAAAAAAAGTAAATAAAAAAATACAACAATTAAAAAAAAAGAACAAGTATTTACATGGCATGTACATTGCATTAGGTATTGTAAGTAATCTAGAGATGATTTACAGTATCCTGGAGGATGTGCATAGGTTGTATGCAAATACTACATCATCTTATACCAGGGATTTGAGCATCCATGAATTTTGGTATCCTCGGGGGGATCCTAGAACCAATCCCCCATGGATACCAAGGTACAACTGTGTATGTAAAGATCTTAGGTGGTGCCTGTTACATAATGTGAGAAAACATTTAAAATGGTCCATTTTCAAGGCATGATAAATGTAAGTACTGGCAGCCAGCCTGCGAATGTGACAAACCAAATGGCTCATGCACCTAGGAGGTCACAATAAGCAAACAGAATGTAGAGGAGGGGTCAGTCCATAAAAGGGAAAAAAGTTTTGTTATTGTGAAATCAAAACTTAAGCGGGAAAGGGGATGGGGTCTAACCTTACAAGGGGTGTAATGAAACTTAGGCAACATCCAGGAAAATTGTAACCCCATAGTACTCAACCAATAAGGAACTGGGGGAGGGACTTGCATGCTAAAAGATAAATTATCTTCTGTAGCTGCCTGTGTGTGCCTGTCTACCAGACACCCGATCTTGCAAGACTATTATTAAAAGTCTCACTTTTGCTGTTCTTTGTGCCTCTAAGTCCATTCTTTGGGTTTCTCACAATAATAAGTGCTAAACACAGGCCAATTATGACATGCATTGATATTCCAGATCCCAGCTGGCATGAGGACAGTAGGCAACTGAAGGCAATAGGCCAGGAAGGATTGTGCCAAGGTGACATGAGATCCAGAAGTTTTCATCAGCATTTTACAAAGTCCAAAGGAATGTGTTCATTTATCCTCCAAAAGGCTGCATGGGCAAAAAAAAAGAAAAAAGAAAAAAAAAGAAAGCCAAAGTCTTTGCCTTGGAGGACATTGGGGAGCATTACTCAACACATTTTTGGTGCTAAATAGCCCTGACCAGGCCCTGGGCAGAAGGAGAGGGCTGGGTACTGATCAGGGTTTCACAGAGCAGGGGAAGCCTGAACAAGTTACTGAGAAGCAGAAAGGCCTGAGATGTGACCATGAAGTTTATTAATACAAACCCACACTGAGCCAGGGGAGCAGGCAGTGAGTGACTACGTTGCGTATCAAGTCAAATCCTGCCTTGTATGGATGTCCTCTCAGGGCCAGGACTAGGGAAACCAGGGTGAGACACTGGATTCAGGCACAAAATTTAAAGGAGTGCCAAAACTCAGTAATCAAGATAAAATAATCTTGTAATGCAGTGCTTTTAAAAATACAAATTGCCAGGCGCAGTGGCTCACGCCTGTAATCCCAGCACTTTGGGAGGCCGGGTGGGCAGATCACGAAGTCAAGAGGTCAAGGCCATCCTGGCCAACATGGTGAAACTCTGTCTCTATTAAACATACAAAAATTAGCTGGGCATGGTGGTGCGCGCCTGTAGTCCCAACTACTTGGGAGGCTGAGGCAGGAGAATCACTTGAACCCAGGAGGCAGAGGTTGCAGTGAGGCGAGATCGTGCCACTGCACTCTAGCCTGGCAACAGAGTGAGACTCCATTTCAAAAAATAAAAAATAAAAATAAATTTTTAAAAATGTAAATAAAAAAATTAAAGCAAAAAATCAGATGAAGAAAATATCAAAATTTTAAACAAAGACAAGATCTAACTCTGTATTTGCATAATGGCCTTATAGCCTAACCCTAATCCTGGGCCTGAATCCCCAAATTATTTCATGAGTCCAGGCTTGCTCTCTGTGATTGTGAGCTAAGTCTTTGCCTCAAGTTGCTTGCTCCTTATCTCAGGGCAGAAACGGTCTTGCTGTTTCTGAGCTATGTAGCTTGAAGAATTTGTTTGGCCTCACCTGTAAAATAGGCCTAGCAGGACATACAAGATTATAGTAGTGCTTAAGATAAAAGAGCCTCGGTACGCTCCTATTTCAGTGTCTGGAAGATAGTTAGCACTCAAAGAATGCTTGCTGGAGGTGAGGAAGGGCAGACGATATAGATAAAAAATAATTGTAGTTAAAGTTTATTGAACCCTTATAATGGGCCAGGCAAGTATTAGGTGCTAAACAAGTATTACTTCATTTACTAAAAGATAATTAAGATACAAAAAAAAATGATCATTAATGAACAGAGGGACTTTGCTGCTGTGGGATACTGATATGGTTTGGCTGTATCCCCACCCAAATCTCATCTTGAATTGTAGCTCCCATAATTCCCACATGTAGTGGGAGGGACCCATGGGAGATAATTGAATAATGGGGGCAGGTCTTTCCAGTGCTGTTATCGTGATAGTGAATAAGTCTCATGAGATCTGATGGTTTTATAAAGGGCAGTTCCCCTGCACACACTCTCTTGTCTGCCACCATGTAAGATGTGTCTTTTTTCCTCCCTTGTCTTCCGCCATGATTGTGAGGCCTCCCCAGCCATGTGGAACTGAGTCTATTAAACCTCATTCCTTTATAAATTACCTAGTCTTAGTTATGTCTTTATTAGCAGTGTGAGAACAGACTAATAGAGACACAAAGGAGTTGCATCAACATAGCCTAGGAATTTGGGATCAATTCCCAGAGCAACTGGCATTGATTGGAGCTAAAGTGTGAAGTGGCTAGGAGAAGACAGGGCAATAGGGAGGAAGGATGTTCGGAAATGAAAAACATGCCAGAAGTCCAGGCCAAGAGGTATAAAGTGCATCAAATCAGCCTGAAGCTCTAGTTAGCTCTCAGGTGAAAGGAACTCTGAGTGATGTGATTGATTTTTAAAGTAAAATCAACCATCATTCACTAAATATTATTTGTCTGGTGGTCAAACTCTTTTCAAAAACTGGATCTGTGGAGCAACAGTCATGCAACAGGCCCTTGCTGGTGAGGGGATGGGAAGTTGCCTCCAGGAAAGGTTTCTGATGTTTGGAAATGAGCAAAGTCAGGAGTGGATTGCATGAGATGAGATAATCAGCAATTGATTGGCAGGGTGCTTGTCTGTGGTGCTTGTCTGCTCTGAGCACAGAAAGGACCTGCTGGCCCCCTGGGCTGGGTGGGACATTTTCATACACTTCAACTCTGAGCCACTAAGAGGTCACCAGCTGTCCATGACTGAGCATGGCAGGAGTGCGGCAGAAAGACATCAGTTTGGATTCAGGTGATGGGAAACTGCTTTGCTGAGAAAATTGGCCTTGAAGAATGAAACATGCAGCTAAGTGGAGATGTGGGAGAGTTTGGAAGGGTTCGGAAGAACCCTGGGTAAGTAGCCAGCCAGAGGCAGCTTATTTCCCTGAGTCGGTCAGGACTCAGGACTTGGGGCCAGAGAGATCTGGGCTAGAATTCCAGCTCTACAATTTACTCACTGCTGGTCTGCTTGCAACCTCAGTTGTCTTATATGCAAAATGAGCAAAATAAGTTGATTTTTTTTTTTAGTATTAAATGAGATCAAGTGAAAAATGCCTAGAACCCAGTCGGTCAATACTCCCTACCCACGGCTGCACGTAGGAATCACCTGGGGAATTTTTAAAATACCAACCCGGGCCCAGTCCCAGAGAATCTAATGGAATTGGTATGGGGTGGGGCTTGAAAGGCATTAAAAAACAAACAAACAAACAAACAAAAAACTTCCCAGATGTTTATTTCATTCGGCCAGGATTGATTAGTCTATCTAACACTGCTAATTAAATCAGTTCCCTTGTCCTACCTCTAACTTTCTAAGATCCCTTAGAAGGGTCTCTCCTGTGCCTATGAAAACCAGAGTGCCTTTCAGACTTTGACATTTTTAAAGATCTAGGGGTTTTGTTAAAATGCAGATTCTGATTCAGTAGGTGCAAAATAGGGCCTGAGGTTCTCCAGTTCTAACAAGCTGCCAGGTGATACCAATATTAAGAGATTATGAGACTTTGCTATTTTATATAGTTTTTTGGCCATGGCATGGTGCTTTTATTAAGACAAGTGATTCTCCCTAGCATGTCAGCGTGATAAAGAATTTTGTAATGTACTTAAGTAAGTCCTTTCAAAATTATGATCTTTCTATTCTTGTCTCTTGATTTTCTTTTTTTTTGAGACGGAGCCTTGCTCTGTCACCCAGGCTGGAGAGCAGTGGCCGGATCTTGGCTCACTGCAAGCTCCACCTCCTGGGTTCACGCCATTCTCCTGCCTCGGCCTCCTGAGTAGCTGGGACTACAGGCACCCGCCACCACGCCTGGCTAATTTTTTTGTATTTTTAGTAGAGACAGGGTTTCACCGTGTTAGCCAGGATGGTCTCGATCTCCTGACCTCGTGATCTGCCCGCCTCAGCCTCCCAAAGTCCTGGGATTATAGGCGTGAGCCACTGCACCCAGCCCTTGTCTCTTGATTTTGTAGCTGTGAAGTCTTGGATCAGGTGCCTGATGGGGAGTCAGAAGACCCAGACTTGCTGTCTGCAGTGTGTATCTTGGGGAAGTTGTTTTACCTCATCTGTAAAATGAGCTTAATTATCATTTACATCATAAGGTCATTGTGAGGCTTAAGATAAAAAATGTTAAATAGATGCAATACATTTTTTTTTAATGGATAAAAGAAGGCCTGGGTGCAGTGGTTCATGCCTGTAATCCCAGCACTTTGGGAGGCTGAGGTGGGCAGATCACTTGAGGCCAGGAGTTCAGGACCAGCCTGGCTAACATGAAGAAACCTCGTCTTTACTAAAAACATAAAAATTAGCCAGGCGTGGTGGCACTTGCCTGTAATCCCACCTACTCAGGAGGCTGAGGCACAAGAATCACTTGAACCCGGGAGGCGGAGGTTGCAGTGACCTGAGATGGAGGCACTGCACTCCTGCCTGGGTGACAGAGTGAGATCTGTCTCAAAAATACATAAATTAATTTATGAATTAATTAAAATTTAAAAAGATAAAAGAGCTTGAAAGTGCTAGAGCACCTAGTTCACTGCCTGGAACGTAGCACTCAAGAAATGTTTGTTGGAACCAGAAAAATAATTTTAGGTCAGTTTTAGTGATGCTCACACATCGTGTGTAGGCATTAAGTGGGGGAAATTGACGTCCAAATTCAGTGGACATCTTCACAAAAGACACAGTATAATAATAATGCAGGCATTTAACTTTGACCTTAAGAGGAGAAAAGATGTCTACCGAAAACCAGCGTAAATGGACCCTCCAGATCCAACAAATTTCTATAAAATTGGAGTACCATTTAATGGATGAAAGAGATGAGGATCCAAGAAATTTTGTAACATGCCCAGTGTTGCACACTCAGAATATGAAGGAGAGCTGGGACGGTGGCCAAGAAAGAAGCCTGGGCATTACACCTGAGGGTCAGAACCACAGCTGGGTCCTCACAGGAGTGGCATGGTACTCCGTATGGGGTGGGACATGCTGCCTCCCTCTACGATAGCTGCTAATTCTAAAAGCTGGTATGGGGTGAAGTGTGGTACATACGAGGGAGCTTCGGAGGGGCAACACACAAAGTGGGGTTTAGCCCTAGGTTGTGGGCTAAACCACTACTGGCCAACACTGCAGGCTCTGCACAGCATGGCGATGATGGCCATGCTTCCAGTTGAGTCTTCCCGGAGAATCTCACTTGATGCCTGTTTTCTTAGCATAACTGTTAGTAGCTCACACTTTTGCTATCAAACATGTCCTGATCTGTGTATAAACCTAAAAGATTGCTCTAATGATAGCACCTTTCAGGCAGAAGACATTGATCTATGATTTTTCTCCTCCACCAGCAAATATCTTCATAAGCTTCCTAAAGGCCAGGCCTGTGTGTCCTCTCTCTGTTTTCCTGGTGCGACTGGCCCAAGTTCTGATGCAGAGTAGGCACACTAGAAATATTTGTTAAATGGTACTATATCAAGTAAGCCAAACAAATTCCCTGGTGCAGAGTTCACCTTCACTATGCCCTCCATAAAGTCATTAATTCTAAATCTCTGACTCTTCCAAGGAAAAGGACAACTGTCCTCAGAGCCACCGTGCTGTGTGTGAGTCAGAGGGGAAGGCAGAAGTGAAAGCAAGACAGAAAGCAAAGAGGTCATCCTTGCTGCACTGGGGCGGAACAACTGCAGAATAGGGACATGAATCCCCTCTTTCTACTGCAAGGGGAAACCCTGGCCTTGTTTCTCAGACCACCACAGCAGCCCAGAGCCCCCTGCACAAAGTGTGTCACATTCACCATCAGCCACTTAGCTGAGAAAACTGCTCTAAGTGCCCTAAGTGTAGCCAAGAGGCAATGGCAGGTTCCTAGGTGAGGAAGAGGACCAGTTGGCATCATTCTGTGTGAAGTCTGACCTTTCTAGATCTTGCTTTCATTCCCCTCGAGTACTCCCCTTGTGTTTGTTGTCTGTTCCTTAGGGAAAGTCCTTCCAGGTTGCTGTCTCTGCAACCTGATGGGAGCGTGCCTCACTCCCTTGCATCACCATTACATTGCTTTCCCCTCCCCAGCTTCTCATAAAGGCCACCTTTCCTTACATCAGTCATTATCAAACTTTAGTGTGTGAGGAGCACCTGGAGAGCCTATTAAATGCAGATTGCTGGGCCTCTCTATCCCTAGATTTCTGATTCAGCAGGTCTGGGGTGGAACCCAGGAATATGCTTCTCTAACGAGTTCCCAAGTGATGTTGATGCTGTTGGTCTGGGGAACAGACTTTGAGAACCAGGGCCCTGGAATCCTCTTCAGGAAAAATACCTCTCCTAGCTGCTGGGCCATTTCCTAAGCAGCAACCTTCCACCTGGCTGTTTCTGTAATCAACTGGGGAGCTTGAACACAACCCATACCCAGTCTACAAGCCATCAGCAGCCTTAGGGACTGCTCATACAATTCCAAAGTGCAGGCAAGGTAAAAAAGCACCGCTCTGCAGCCTGCCTTCCCAAACTTGATCTTCTTCGGCCCTTCTGCCAATCACAGCTGCCCCTCTAACCAGAAATGAGCAAGCCCACTTTCTCTTCCATGTGTTCTCACCTCATTGAAAAATCCGTTAGGATTACATTAATCTTCTTGGGGTAGGGGGTAAGGACTGGTAAGATTACAATTTGTGACACCATCAAACAATTTTCTTCAAATGCCCTTTCAACATTTTTTTTAAAGACACGTTCTCATTCTGTCACCCAAGGTGGAGTGCAGTGGCACAATCAGAGCTCATTGCAGCCTCAATCTCCCAAACAATCCTTCCACCTCAGCCTCCCAAGTAGATGGGACCACAGGTACACGCCACCACACCCAGCTAAGTTTTTTATTATTATTATTTTTAGTAGAATCGAGGTCTTGCAATGTTGCCTAGGCTGGTCTTGAACTCCTGAGCTCAAGCAACCCTCCTGCCTCGGTTTCCTAAACTGCTGGGATTACAGGTGTGACCCACCATACACCCAGCCAATGTTCAACTTTTTTTTAAGGGGGATGAAAAAAACAATTATTTTCTTTTAATACAAATTATATTCAATAAAAGAGTCTCCTGATAATTCACTCCCAAGACCAAAAGAGATTCTATGTTCATTTAAAAAAAGAAAAGAAAAGAAAAAAAAGAGGGGAGGACCAGGAAAGGTGGCCCTCACTTGTAGTCCCAGCACATTGCAAGGCCTCAGTGAGAGGACTGCTTGAGCCCAGAAGTTGGAGGCTGCAGTGAACTATGATTGTCCCACTGCTCTCTAGCCTGGGTGAGAAAGCAAGACCCAGTCTCTAAAAAAAGAAAGACATTTCCTATTTTTCTGTGGTTCTGAAACTACCTCCAGTTGTCTTTTGTGATTTTCTGAAGCAAAGTAACTTTTTGAGAGAATTACTAAAGGGCTTAAATTGAGATAATGAAATGAATCACTAAGATAAAGAACACTACATCAACAAACTCTTTGATTCCAGAGTCTCAGCTGACTGCTTTTGCCTGAGCATGTCAAAAAAATATATGCAGCTATGCAGCTGAAATAGGCAATTGCTAGCAGGGCCTTTTTTTTTTTTTTTTTAAACTTCCACTCAAAGACGTTTTGTCTTGGGTGAGAAAAGGACCAATTTACATTTTGCCAATTAAGTAAAGTGTTGCACCCAGATTTCTAAATAAATGACCTCCATATTTCCAATTCATGCCCAGGAAATTTGGCCCATGGATTGGTGCCCTGGGAGGTGGTCCAGCTGGCCTTCCCTTCAACCTTTGTTGGCTTCCAAGTCATTCACTCCATAACAAGCATTCACAGAGATGGATTCGATAACTGTCTGCTCACCAGAGGAGTGGAAGTTAAAAAAAAAAAAAAAAAAAGGCCCTGCCAGCAATTGCCTATTTCAGCTGCATAGCTGTATCTTTTTTTTTTTTTTTTTTGGGCAAAAGAAGCCATTTGTATATAATCATATTTACAGGAAGTTTAAGAACAGGAGACTTACTCTGCAGTGATTGAAGTCCAAACAGGGGTTATGGGGAGTGGAGTGTTGACTGGGAGGGGGCATAAGAGAGCCTTTGAGGGTATTGGGAGTGTTCGATACCTTGATCTGGTGGTAGGAATGTGAGTGTATTCATATGTGAAAATTCAAATTTAACTCAAAAAAGTAAAATAAAACAAAACCAGCGATTATTTTTAAAGCTACTCTAAACAGAATTTTTACAAGTCCATGTTCTAGAATGTTCACAGCACCTTTGTTCATAAGAGCTCCAAACCAGAAGCAACCAGCTGTCTATCAATTAAAGAACAAATAAATTGCAGTATATTCATACAATAGAATATTTTAACAGCAATAACGAATGAAATCATGATTAAATCAGGTTAAGATGACCTGATGGCCAGGTGCGGTGGCTCATGCCTATAATCCCAGCACTTTGGGAAGCTGAGGCAGGCAAGTCACCTGAGGTCAGGAGCTCAAGACCAGCCTGGCCATCACGGTGAAACCCCGTCTCTACTAAAAATAAAAAAAAAAAAAGAAAAAAAAAAAAATTTAGCCAGGCATAGTGGCTCATGCCCGTAAACTCAGCTACTCAGGAGACTGAGGCAGGAGGACTGCTTGAACCCAGGACAGACAGGCTGCAGTGAGCCAAGATCACGCCACTGCACTCCAGCCTGGGCAATAGAGTGAGACTCTATCTCAAAAAAACAAAACAAAACAAAACACACACCAAAAAACAAACAAAAAACAAGATGACGTGGTTATGAGACAGTGATCTCCTGCAAAGTAGGGCATGTGTCTTGGTCATCTCTGTTCTCAAGTTACACATGGGGCCTCAAACTAGGAAGGGGCCTAATAAATATATATCAGGTTTATGAATAAACTAAATTTTAAATAAACAGAAGGGATGGCCTATTTTTTTTCTCCCTAGAGAAATAGCAATTAGAGGTGAACCATCTAGTTCTGTAACATTTCAAGGGTAATTGCTTGTCATATCTGCAACAAATAGGAAAGATGAAAGTGAACAAGAGACAGAAGTGGGACTACTGGTGACAATTTTCTTCTCTTTTCAAAGGAATGCATTTCCCAAATTCTAAAAGACATACTGGTGACTCAGACATTGTCTATGTCCCATAATACTAAACTCTGAGATACAAAGTATTATTTTACTTTTCTTTGGCAAACTGTCCAGATATTTTCAAATATCCAGATGTTCTTCCTGAAATGACCCAAACAATGCTGTATCTTTGTCACACTGTATTAAGATATTTGGTATTATGGAGACAGAGCTTGGATTGAGTTGTAAATTCAGTAAAGATGGAGCCAAGAGCAGAAACTTTGATCTACTCACAGTACCCTAAACAATGCCTGAGAGATATGGCCCAGAGATGAATCCAGAAGATAGAGCTGAGATGTATGAAGTTATCAAAACCCAGCCATTCTGGAGTGCTCCCTGGTCAGCATGCTTCCACTGATCACCCAGTTATGTGGTGAAGGAGTCATCCTCCCTCATTATTCTAGCCCTTCTTGGACACGATGGATAACCAGCAACCTTTCCCAAAACATGCTAAGCATTTCACACCTCTAACCCTGAGCTTATGCTAACTCCATTGCTTAAAAGGCCTTTTCCCAATTCCTATCCAGCCTATTCTTTCTATCTCAATTCCCCAGATGCCCCTACCTAGAAGTGTTCTTTTTTTTTCCTCTTTCTCAATCTCCTCTCTCTGTCCAAATCCTTCCAAGAGTCAGCTCAAACGCCTGCTCCCTAACAAAAGTGATGTTGAGCTACCCAGATGCCAAGTTGTTCCAACAGTCTCTGCTTCTTATAGGGGTCACATGGCATTTTCTACAATTTAGCGTAACTTTTTATGTGTATCTTACTGCCTTCTACAAATAATAAGGGCTTTAAGGGCAGAATCTATATCTTACATATATTTGTGTTCTCAAAGAAAATCACAGTCAAATAAAATACTGGTTGATTGAATGTGATGATTCTTACTTATGACCTGTGGCCATAATCAGGAAGTCTTAA
Source organism: Homo sapiens (assembly GCF_000001405.40). Lineage (NCBI taxonomy): Eukaryota > Metazoa > Chordata > Mammalia > Primates > Hominidae > Homo > Homo sapiens. Next base: position 107,879,558 of record NC_000009.12, on the reverse strand, counting down.
GTTTGAGGGAACAGTGGAACGAGTTCTGGATTAGGAGTCAGGCCAACCTGATTCCACACTGGATCTGCAACCTCCTAGCTCTTTGTCTTTAGACAAGTTCCCTCAACCCTCTGGGCCTCAGTTTCCCCATCTGTTAATTAAGAGTTGAACTAGAGTTAGTGTCCCCAGAACTGATGTAACAGAATAGAGAGGCTCAATTATGTCAACATTTTCCTTTTCTATTTGGGGCTAGAGATGAGTAATTACTTTGGGATATACCTTCTTTGTTCAGGGAAATGAACCTTCAGTATGCAAATTTCACAGAGATGGAAGTTACAACAAAATTTATTGTGCCTTTTTGACTTTGAACAAAGATGGCACTCCTTGAGAAACTTATTGCCAAAACAGATCCAGTCTTCTAGAAGGAGATGGATCAATTTGCATAAATAAGCCAGGGCCAAGATAGGCGTGGTGGCAGGCACCTGTAATCCCAGCTACTCAGGAGGCTGAAGCAGGAAAATTGCTTAAACCCAGGAGGTGGGGGCTGCACTGAGCCAAGATTGCACCACTGCACTCCAGCCTGGGTGACAGAGTGAGACTCTGTCTCAAAAAAAAAAAAAAAAAAAAAAAAAAAAAAGAATCCAAAAAAGAATCCAGGCTTCCCAAAATTTAAGGTAGGGAAGACCTGTTGGAGTGGGCAGGATGGCCTCAGCCATGACCTGATGGCAAGGTAGAACAACTTGATTCCTCAAATGAAATCATCTTTAGAGTAATAAGGTGTCCACGCCATGAGCAGAGAGGCTCAGCAGAAGAACCTAAGTGTCTATGGGAAGGGCTGGTCTTGTCCTGGTGTGCTCTCAGTGCAGGGAGCTCCCCTGGACCCAGAGCCCCAGACATAGCTGTTCTGCTTTGGGGAACAATGACTGAGCATGAAAGAATCAGAACAAAAAGACTAGTAAAAGCAGAAGTCACCTTGAAAGGGACTTAGGATGGGACTAACAATGGCATGCCAGAATGGGCAGGCCGGTATTCTCAAGAGCAACTTGGAGGCAGGGAAATACAGTGCAGCAATGGTCCTGGGTAGGCACAGTGCTCCTGGATAATTCCAGGGAATGGGACTCTCTGCTAACAGGGCATTTGGGGCTTAAGCAATCAGCTGAAGAACTAGGAAAGATCTGATTATAATCTACTGACTAGGCAACACATGGTAGTTCATGCCTGTAATCCCAGAACTTTGGGAGGCCGAGGCAGGTGGATCACCTGAGGTCAGGAGTTTGAAGCCAGCCTGGGCAACATGGCAGAACCCCCTCGCTACTAAAAATACAAAAATTACCTGGGCATGGTGGCAGGTGCCTGTAATCCCAGCTACCCAGGAGGCTGAAGCATGAGAATCACTTGAACCCAGGAGGCAAGGATTGCAGTGAGCCAAGATCGCCCCACTGCACTCCAGCCTGGGCAACAAAGCAAGGCTCCATCTCAAATAATAATAATGATAATAACAATAATCTATTGGCTAAATATTGGCTTAATATAAAACTCAGATCTGTGTGCTACTCTGTCTCACCTCAGAACAAAAATTCCATTGTCAAATAACTTTTATAATCATAGTTAACTACCTGCTCCTCTTAGAGATCTACCACAGATTTGAGGCATTTGAAAGTCTGAGAACTCTTACAGTAAAGACACCTGTTTAACTTTATTTGAAGTCAGCATTCCAGAAATTTATTTGAACTTAGAGGTCTCCATCATATCCCTGCCCCTTTTCTCATGTAATCCTCAGAATCCTGTAGAACTTGGTTCCCTGGAACACACTTCACAAAATATTAGACAGGGGGATGGCTAAAAGACTTTTTAATGTAACCTAATAAGGATTCTGGGTTCTAGTTTTAAAATTTTTTAAAGGAATGCTAATGCTACAGAAAACCCTTCCTTCTAGTCCCCATTGTGTATTTCTGGAGCAAACGGCAGTGTCAACAGCAGAGAGAATTGAGCTAGAGTCTGAAATGGCACCTGGGAAATGCTTTCAAGGCATGAGTTTGGAAGCCCAAAAGGAAACCTAAATGATGGCAAAGGCAGCACCTCCACCTGAAGCAGTGAGTGGTTGTTCTCAGAACCCATGAGAAGCAGGTCCCCAACAGCTCCCAACCCACACCTTCAGGAGTAGAGTGCTATTCCTACACAGCTCCTGGACCCTGGCCAACGGAAGACAAAGAATTACTTTCTAGATACAAAGATGATTTCCTCCGTAACATTTCTTGGGTGTTTTTGTTTTGAGAAGCAGAGTCTCATTCTGTCTCCCAGGCTGGAGTGCAGTGGTGCCATCTCAGCTCACTGCAACCTTCTCCTTCCAGGTTCAAGCGATTCTTGTGCCTCAGCCTCCCTAGTAGCTGGGATTACAGGCCTGAGCCACCACTGCCTGGCTAATTTTTGTAGTTTTACTAGAGACAGGGTTTCGTCATCTTGGCCAGGCTGGTCTCAAACTCCTGGCCTCCAGCGATCCACCCGTCTTGGTCTCCCAAAGTGCTCAGATTACAGGTGTGAGCCACCACTCCGGCCCTAAGTAAGATTTCTTCTATGTAATCAGTGTTTCTTGTCATGTTGTGGAGTACCTGCAAGTCCTTGAAGATTCCCATTGGAACACAAATTGTTCTTTATTTGCCAGACAAACAATTCACCAAGTATTGATCATTCTATTGCATATTCATGTTACCTCAAAAGGCTAATGAGCTTTTGAGATTTGGGCTTTTAATTTTAAGCCCTTAACTGGAGGTATTGATGAGCAACTATCAGAAATCTCTTGATTTGCATGTTCCCCCATTTCTTGCCCCCATTTCTCTACATTGCAGTCGCAGCATGACGCTTTCCTGAGAAATTGATTCTCTCCCACTCCAACTAGGGGATGTTGATGGGATGGTGGTTCCCAGTTTGCTTGTAACAACAGGGTCTGGTTAAAACAAGATTGGCGGCTTCCTAAAGAGTCTTGGCTCTTCCCTATCCTACAAGTGACTGCAGGGCTGACTTATTTCTACATCCCCAATATCCTTCCTGGCCTGATATGTAAAGGCCCTTGGTCAATGTTTAGTGAACAAAAAAGGGTTTTATCCAGCTGAGACATGAACTCAGGGAAAGGCAAGGACATTTTTTCTAGAACTGGGGACAGGAAAGCCTTTTAGAACTGAGCAGCCAATCAGAGAATACCTATCAGCCAGACTAAGAAGCTGAGTAACTGGAGAATTGAACTTGAGCTGCTTCAGCCATGCTCCGGCTCAGATAAGGGTTTCTTCCCAAGCCTGGGGTAAGGCTGAGACTCTCACTGGGAGTCAAGAGGCTCCAGCTGTCAGGAAAGGAAGGTTGTACTATCAGGAAGCCAGGCAGTGCCTGACATTGAAAGGGGTCCCTCTTAAGGGTGAGTCACCTACAGATTTTTCTATGGGCTCTTTGAGCTCTAAAGCTCAAAGTCCTCTGCCTGTCTGCTGAGAGGGGCTTCCTGACCTTTCTCCCTTCATCCATTCTCTCTCCCCTCTTTCTCTGTTACCTCCTTGACCATACAATGGCAGGTTACAAAAAAGCCGCAAATTCCAAGCTATATGTAGCATAGAGTGGCTGTTTGTCCCAAAATACCACGTCGCTGACTACAGCAAACACAAATTACAAGCTTTATCTAATCACCGTTATGTGACCAGTCATTTTTGGTTTCCAAAAATGACAGCGAGTGGCGTGCTTCTGCAGCTGGTGGTGGCACCCACTTGGGTTTCAGATCTCAAGTGCACACAGATGCGCATGGAGCCCAGCATTCCAAGTGACCAATTCAGAAAGGGAAATAGGAGAGGGAAGAGAGGAAGTACAACTCGCCAGATACACAGACACCACTGCTTTGGACCTCACAAATAAATTATTTAAAATCATCCAATTGCTTTGCCACTGTACCAAAGAGTATGAACACTCATCTGCCAGGCACGCAGTTGAGTAAGGGAGAGCTAATACCAAAGTGGTCATCCAAAGGCTGCGCAGAGACTGGAGAAAATAAAGCTTGTTTGGAAATCATTGATTTAATTTGGGGTTTGGAGTTGTTTGCTTCCTTTCCTTTTCTTTTTGCCAAGAATAGATGGCAGTGGTATCAAGGAAGTGGTGCTAGGCTTGGCTGGAGTCTGGAACCTGGGTTGTCTTAGGACCGTGATCCTAGCACATCAGCCCACTTCTCCGAGTGGCCTTGTGAACAGCGTAGGCTGATCATATCACCCTCCTCCCCGAGTTGATGGGATGGGAAGATGAGGGTGCATGTGAAAGTGGGAGCCATACATGTGGCCCAAAGTGGCCTGGATACGAGGAATTTAACCACGTGCTAGGAGCTAGTTCTCTTTCTACATCATTTCATCATAACCATTCTGACTGCTTCTTACATGTATGTGGGCTTTCAATCGCTAGGAAGAGGCAGAGAGGAGCCCGTGACGAACTTGGCCTGTGATTCAGATTGTCAAATACCACCAGTCAAAATAAACCGGTCTTCTGCCTAGATTCCAGGGCACATGTGCACATGCAGAAGGCATTCCTCTGTAAGTTTTAAATAGCCCAAAGATGTGCTCGAGTGGGACTCTCTGTCAAAATATAAAAGCATTTAGGAAAACAAGGTCCTTTAAATACCTACATTCCTTCATATCAGATAGAAATCGCATAAGACCTCTGTTTCCAGGGGATCTGACTTGCCAGGGCCAGCAGAGGAAAGAAGAAGGATGGACAACTGCACTGCGCTGAAAGTAATAACAATGAAACATGAACGGTCCGAACTCAAGCTGACTTTCACTTCCCTAAACTATAAATAAATCAGCATTTTTTTTTCTTTACTTCAAATCCACGTTTGTCACCTCCCATCCATGGGTACTTTAAGAGAAAGAACTGGAATTTCAGCATTTATCTGTGTAATGCTAGAAAACTCAACTCTCCCCCTCCCCCTGAAAAGAGAGGAGGTTGAGCTGTGGAGGCTTCCTTTAAGCTCTAGCATTTGCTTCTATTGAAGCCACTTCTTTGGCCAGTGGGTTGGAATACGTGGGACATCTATTCCATCTAATTGGTATTGTTCCTTTGTGTCCTATGACACAAAGTGACATCGCTGTCCTTACCTGTCATCATACCTCTTGGAAGCAAATTAATTTCTCACACCTCACATTTATATCAGTGGTATAGTTAACTTCACATCGTCATTTCTCAGACTGTGCCACGCTGAAAAGGGGACAGGACCTCTGGAGCTGAGTCAACCTATGCACCAGCTACAGTACTGATGTCTAACCCCAAAGCAGCTGCTAACAGAAATAACAGTAACAACAACAAACTAGCAATTGTGGGGTCCCTACTGTGTTACACATTTGTACCTAAGGGTTTTGCATCCCTTATTTCATGTCATCTTCAGAACAATCTTCTGATGGAGGTGTTTCTATTTCCATTTTGTCAACGATCAAACCGAGATTTAGAGATAAACTAATTTGCCCAAAACATTTCTGTTTCTTCGGACTGCTAGGAAACTCAAGGTCAAATGTGGTCAAATACAAGTGCACAGGGGTTCGTACTTGTGTTTCTGTCATTTCTGACTCCACTTTTTTTCTCCAGTCCCTAACTTTCCTATTTTATTCCTTCTCATTTTATGATTTCTACTTTTTCCTGTAGTTGTAAAGCAATTTCAAATACTTTTTGGAAAAGAGAGAGATGTAAATAAATGAATGAGATACAGCCATATTCATGTTACCTCAAAAGGCTAATGAGCTTTTGAGATTTGGGCTTTTAATTTTAAGCCCTTAACTGGGGGTATTGAGGAGCAACTATCAGAAATCTCTTGATTTGCATGTCCCCCATTTCTTGCCCCCATTTCTCTATATTGTAGTTGCAGCACCACGCTTTCCTGGGAAACTGATTCTCTCCCACTCCAACTAAGGAATGTTGATGGCATGGTGGTTCCCAGTTTGGTTGTAACAACGCGGTCTGGTTAGAACAAGATTGGCAGCTTTGTGAAGAGTCTTGGCTCTTCTCTAGCCTACAAGTGACTGCAGGGCTGACTTATTTCTACATCCCCAATATCCTTCCTGGTAGTGGCAGAACCAAGATGAGAACCCCATTCTCAGATGCCTGAGTCGGCTACATCACATGTTACCTTGCTCTGGAGTGGACTACTTGCTTGGTGGATGTGCATTTGCAATAGTGAAAAGTCCACAGGATGCCAAAAGGAGACTCCTAATCTGAAAATACCATAGGTCATGTGGGTTCTGGCTGAGGACAGGGTGGGAGTGAGGCACAGGTGGAAATCAGACATGAAATCCTCCTATGGAAGAACTTAGCTCTTTTGGTGAGAGGTTCAAAGATTGGATACCCAAGAGTACAGTCCTCGAGGGAGCGAACCAAGAATAGCTCCTAAATTTTGGTAGAGGCCACCCTTAACATGGCTCAAGGAACTGACAGTTTCTAGCCTCTGTTTAGGAACACAGCCATGACTTTCAGAAGGCTTCAGCCAAAAGGTAGCTCTGCACCTACCTAAAAAATCCATAAGAGCCTGAAAAGAACCATGGACCACCCACAGTGTTACAAGAGCTTCACAAAGGGGCAGAGAACAAAAGAAAAGGACAATAATCTACAACATCCTTGAGTGTCAGTCAGAAACAGCTATGCACATGTAAAGAGACAGAGGAATCCATTTCAAACACATCCACATTTGGAGGGAGCTTAAGAAGTTCAAATGAAGCTACAAATTGTGATTGGGAGAAAATAAAAAGGAAATGAAAATTAGCTGCTGATATTGTGGCAGACATTACGCTGAATGTTTCAGATGCCTTTTTCTCTCATTTAATTAGAATGACCCCCTTCTGAGAGAGATGTAAGGAAATGATTGAGCGACAGGCAGGCAGTGGCAGAGCCAAGATAACAACTCCACCTGAGGTGGGCTGTGCTACCCCTATGTGGTTAAGAAGGGAATTAGGCTCTGGGGGGTTACTCAGCCTGGACAAGCTAGCCGGTGGTAGGATGGGGCTCATCCCTAGACATATCCAATTGTAAAGCCCAGCTCTTTCCATCCAACCACACCACTTAGAACAAACTGCTCCAGGCCATTCTATCCTGACCCACCCAATAATGGAGGCAAGCTTATGTAGGCCCTAACCCAAATATCAAATGATCTCCTTTTAGAACTGCACAGATTAATCTAAAACTCTTAAGAAAAATAAATGCATGAGAACACACGCACAAAAATAATGCTAAAAAAAGCAATAATAGAAGCAGACCATATCACAAAGCAACAATAATAAAAATGTATAATACTTACAGAGTAAAGAACATAAATTTTTATAACGGAAAAAGTCCATGGCATAATTTAGCATGTGATTAAGTCAGCATCAAAACTAACTGGGATAATTAACACATATAAGTACTTATTTTATGTAACTGGATCACAATTTAGAGATAAATTAATTTAGATTACAGCTTATATAAAAAACTCCAAATGGGTTGAAAATGAACGATTATAATGAGCCACAGAAATAACAGAACTGAATATTTAATCATAATTTTAGACGAATATTTGGTAAATAGCAAATAAATAGTGTGTCAAAAGAACAAAAAATTCAACCCTCTAACAACTTCCTGTGAATAAAATGTAACTCTCTTTAATGAAAACAAGTGCCACTGAAGCAAAAAGAGAAACTGTTTTCAAAAACATGGCACAGATAGTTTGACTTAGTGTCTGTGATGTATAAACAGCCAGTATAATTAGGACCCAAGTTGGTAAATATCAATTAACACAAGGACAGTCCTGTAGAAGAAATATATACATTTTAATCCAGAAAATAAAAATGCAAAGTGTAAGGAAGCACTATTTGATACATACTTTCTGGTAGCCCTGTATTTTTTTAGTTTGTTAAACTATTTTCAAAAAATAGTTTAATAAAATATGGAGAACAAACAAGTCTAAAGAGCTAATGTACAACATGAGGACTATAGGCAATAAAATTGTACTTATGTGGAATCCATGCTAAGTGAGTAGATTTTAGCTGCACTTATCATAAAAACAAAACAAAAACAATAGGTAACTATGGGAGATAATGAGTATGTGAATTTGCTTCACTATAGTAACCTTTTTGCTATGTGTATTGCATAACATGTTGTATACCTTAAATAAACATAATATAATTTATTTTTAAAGGATAAAAATAAAAAGTACCAGTCTGGGCAACACGGTGAAATCTCATCTCTAGGAAAAATACAAAAATTAGTAGGGCGTGGTGGCACACTCTTGTAGATCCAGCTACTCAGGAGGCCATTTAATAAACTATTAAAATGAGTCAACTATTGAAATGGGAAGATCACTTGAGCCCAGGAGGTTGAAGCTGCAGTGAGCCATGATCGGGCCACTGTACCCCAGCCTGGGCAACAGAGCAAGACCTTGTCAAAAAAAAAAGAAAGAAAGAAAGAAAGGAAAAGAAAGGACAAGAAAGGAAAAGAAAGGAAAGAAAGGAAAAGAAAAGAAAGAAAAGAAAGAAAGAAAAAGAGAGAAACAAAAGAAAGAAAATAAAGAAAGAAAATTAAAGAAAAAAAAGCAGCTAGATTCTTAAAAAAAAAAAAGTGTAATTATATGTAACAAAATCCTTGACACTCTGTGTACTCTTTGAGCCAGTAAATGGATCCTAGAAATGCATCCAAAAGAAATAATCCAAAAGAATAACATGTTTATACACACAAAATGTTCTTTGTAACATTATCTAAATGAGTAAAAAAGAAAAAAAAAGTTCAAATTAATGACCGACAAGAGTGTAATGGTGAAATAATTGCGGTATAACGACCAGATGGAATATTAGGCAGACATTATAAGATGATGTAACAATATCATGCAGGGAAAAGAGGAGACTTCACAAAGATGAATGTGGACTAAGGTTGCAAGTACACATGTATGTGTGCAAATGGCAGAGAACTGGCAGAGGCCGCACAAAATGGAAAGTTTTACAAAGAAAGAATACGATGAATACTTCCCATATTCTGAATTCCCGTCATCATTGTTCTAATGAAGGTTTAGCCATGACTTAAAATCTGGTTAAACTAAAGCATTGTTGAGCACCAGTGGGATGTAGCAATGTGACTGCAGGTACTTCAGAATGCTCTTAAGAACTCACTGGACCTTGCTGCCCAGGAATACAGTCCACCTCGAATACAGGCAAGAGCACTGCTCCTGGGACAGGAAGATAAGACGGCTTTAAAGGCTCTCAGCCCCTTTTGGAATATGTGTGGGTATTCGTTTTTCAGGGCTGCTGTGACAGAGTTCCACGACTGGATGGCTTAAACCATGAACATGTATTCTCTGTCAATTCTGAAGGCTTGAACCCAGCCACTGATATTCTTTGCTGGAATTGCCTTGAAGAGGAGGTATGAGGATTGACTTAATAAATAATCTCAATGAGGACTTTTAAAGGAGCTCTCTGACTTGGGGGTTGAGAGCTATTGAGTTCTATGATGCTCTATTAAGCCCCTTGGTGCTCTGGCCTCAGCAACATTGAAATAAAATGATCATGGAATTCCCCAAGACTTATAGCTCCCATGACTGATTCTATCCCCCCTTAGCTTTTTGGACTTTGGAGGCTACAGTGTGGGGGAAAAGGTGGCAGAGAGGCATCAGTGTGGGCCAGCATCAGCAGAGGCAGAAACAAAAGTGGGGCATACCCACATTTGGAAAGCCTAGAGTGTTCAGCAGAAACACAGCATTGTTTAAGGGTGACAAAGAAATATTAAAGTCAACTCAAGAATGTTTTAGACAAACTTGAAAAGGCTTCCAGAAGGATATTCTTTTTTCTTTTTTGAGACAGAGTCTCACTCTGTTGCCCAGGCTGGAGTGCAGCGGTGCGATCTCGACTCACTGCAACCTCTGCCTCCCTGGTTCAAGCAATTCTCCTGCCTCAGCCTCCCGAGTAGCTGGGATTACAGGCCCACACCACCATGCCCAGCTAATTTTTTTTATATTTTTAGTAGAGACGGGGTTTCACTATATTGGCCAGGCTCATCTCAAACTCCTGACCTCAGGTGATCTGCCCGCCTCGGGCTCCCAGAGTGCTAGGATTACAGGTGGGAGCCACTGTACCTGGCCTAGAAGGAGATTCTTGAGCTCCAATGGAAATAAAGTTCTTACACTATCTATATAGTTTCTTTTTTCTTTTTTCTGATGAGATGAAATCTGAACTCTATTGCATGCTTTCATGACTTATCCTCAGCCAGTCCCTCTAGGCTCATATTTCCCTAAAACCTGGGCACTAGCTTGACATTCCCTAAATGGATCTCATGACTTAGCACGTCCACGGCTTTGTACATGCTCTCTTTCCTGCTGGGGTGCCTCTCTGACTTCCGTGCCTACAGAAGGGAGAGCTGCTGAGGCCCTGAGCATCTAAGGCCCCAGCTCACATGCCATCCCAAAGAGCCCTCTGTTACACTTCATTATGATCACTTTCTGTATTTTCTTCATTTGTTTATTAAAGTCATTTGATTATTTATTCAGCCATTAAATATTTATTGACTGCTGACTATGGGCCAGGGACTGTGTATAACATGCAATGGCTGGAGACAATGAGCGGATGGATTGTTCTGTGAATTCTCAGGTGGAAGAGTGTTTGAGCTTGTGCATAAAGGGCCAAAGGACCTAACTTGGGTTCCAGGGAAGTAAAACAAAGGACAGTTACAGATGCCATGCCCACATTCCATGGCAGGGAGACTTTGAGGGTCCTGTGTCATGATAGCATGATAGCCGCTGGTTCCCTGGTCAGTCTTCCCTTTCTGCACGGACCACTGCAGCCGAGATACACAGAGGCCCTCGTTGGGATGGGAGGCTCACATCCTCAGCACTGAGTCCAGGAACGGAACAGAAGGCATCTCTGGGCCCAGCCTGTCCCCATCTGCAATAGTGGCCACACCAGGTGGCCTAAACAGGAACACAAAACCTCTGGGAGCAACCTCCTTATCCTCCCATGGGAAGCCCCCCTATATATCCCTTACTAAGGGATTCCAGAGCACCCACTGCTCTGCCTTTTCACATCAGGCAAGTGTCACAATGTGGCTGTGGCAGGTTCCCTTTCCTGAACCCAGTTCCATGTTACAGACAGCTCAGGTCCAAAAGCACCAGGGAAAATTACTCATTCCTTAGCCTTGTCAGGCCCCTCTGTGTTTCTGTTAGATTAGAAGAACTTTTATTTCCTCCTTGCCCCTCTATTTTTGATAGCATATACTTCCTCTATTTGCTGCCCCAATAGTTCAAGCCACCTCCACCCCCACATATCACTTCCACAAGAGAAATAAGCAGAGGTAAATGCACCACTTCTTCCTCAGGTCCCCACAGGGCTCTGCCCTTCCTCCCACTATCACAAATCTCCAGCTCTTGGGATTGTCAGGGCCCCTTGGGACTGTGAGCTTCCCAGGACAAGGCCGCTGCCTGCTTTATTTCTGTCCTATAAGCAGAGCGCGGTGCATAGTAGATATGTGTTTATTAGATATCAATAGGATATAATGAAAGTTGGCTATGCCTTTGTGTTTTGATACTTACCTTGATTTCTTAAAGTGTCTCTGGGTGAATATGCATGGAAAAAGTATGTCCTACATATTCTGTTGCCGTTTTTCCTAAGCTGCAGAATTTCCTATCTCTAGACCTATGTTCGGATGAATGAACTGTTGCACAATAATGATGACAATAATAATAATTTTAAAAAGAATCACAGAAAGGCAAGCCTGGAACATCTCTTAGAAATCAGCTCAATAAAGCCCTATGACCAGATGGATCTTTACACCAGAGGTCTTGTAGTAAGTTTCCGGTAGACATGGGAAGAAAGTGCAAATCTCCAGTCCCTCAGGCACAGCCCTCCCTCCACACACCTCCTCTTTATGTAATCCTCTGTGCAGGATGTGCAGCATATATAGGGGCTGGGTGGGGTGGAGGGGCTTTAGCTGGATGCTCAGCCAAACCAAGAGGTAAGGCCTGCGTACAAGGCCCTTGCAACTTCTTTTATGGAGGGACCATCACTGAAGTAATGCTGACACCCACTCTGGGTCCAGCTCACTGTATATTTGCCTATCTGGTGGCTCCTAGCACAAACTTTCCCTCTGCACTGACCTTCTTCCTTGAAAAGCTCTCCTCCTCCCTCAAAGGACTGAGCCAATGTCAAGGCCACGTTTGCTACTCAGTTCTTGCTCTGGAGAGGCTCTCTGCCTAGGCTTAGGGTACAGTCCCTCTATACCTTCTGACCTACAGGCTCAGCAGTGCCCAGATTCACCAGTGATTCTATGCAGGATGCATGCTATTACCATTAGGACCAAATGTTTGCAAAAGACATCTGACAAAATGTCAGGAGCACATTATCAGAAGGCTTGGTTTTGACAGCCTCTTTGCTTCACTGCCCCAGGGCCACCCCAAGTGAGTGCTTCCTTCTGCCCAAGGAGGCAGAAAGAAACCTGAAGTTCCTGAGGGGAGTTTAGCCACAAATGCAGGAGGAACACTTTCTTCACTGATATTTCAAGATGATTTCACAATCAGTAAACCACCAGCCACATGCAATCACTGGTTGAGAAGCAAAAAGTGCAAGAGTTTGGATTGGAGGAGCATGTATGTGTGAGCATGTGTGTGTGCATATTAAAACACAAAGTAACAGAATTTGAAAGAAATTCAGACAGCCAACAAAATTCCTTGTGATGGCAGTATGGGTTTAGGCCAAAAGAACATGTCTGGGGTAGGGAGAAGAGAGGCTTGTTCAAGTCAAGAGCTTTTGTTAAAATCATCAGATATGAAAAAAGATATCCCCCATGCAAGCACAAAATGTCATATGCAAGCACAAAATGTTATATGCAGGCACAGAATTGTGTTTCTTAAACACAAATAAGTAAATTAATTAATAAGTAAATTAAATAAGTAAAAAATTTGTAAAAAATAAAAAAATTGTAAAAAAAAATAAGTAAATTAAATTAAAGGAAACTCTGGGAATGGTACTGTTATCACCTTCTACATTTAATACTTTTGGGTGCTATGATGTCACAAATTGAAAGAGAAAGATTTTACCAAGGCAACAAGACCATAATTAACAAAGAGTTTTTTTATTTGTTTGCTTATTTATATCAACTCTTTGCTAAAGGAAAAAATATACTTCTAAAGTAGAATTGCAAATAAAATATAGAACACTCAGACACAATTTGAATTTCAGATATACAACAGATATTCTTAAGTATGTCCCAAATATTGCATGGGATATACTTATACTAAAAATAAATAAATAAATAAATAAATAAGACTTTGTTGTGTATCTAAAATTCAAATTTAAATGAGAGTGCTGCATTTTCACTTGCTGAATCTGGCAACCTTATTGACAGGCCTCCAGCCAGTACACGAGTACTTTATTTTGGAAGAATGCAACAATCTCCACCCCTCCCTCAACATTCACAGAACGCCAGCCTGGAAGCTTATCCAGTTCAGTGTTCTCATTATTTTATTTATTTATTTAGCCAGAGTCTTGCTCTGTCACCAGGCTGGAGTGCAGTGGTGCGATCTCAGCTTACTGCAACCTCCACCTCCTGCGTTCAAGCAATTCTCCTGCCACAGCCTCCCGAGTATCTGGGACTACAGGTGCGCCCCACCACACCCAGCTAATTTTTGTATTTTTAGTAGAGATGGGGTTTCACCATGTTGGCCAGGATGGTCTTGATCTCTTGACCTTGTGATCTGCCCACCTCGGACTTCCAAAGTGTTGGGATTATAGGTGTGAGCCACTGCGCCCGGCCAGTGTCTTCATCTTATAGATTAAAAAAACTGAAGTCAGAGAGAAGTAACTTGCTCAAAGTCACACAAGGATTCAGTGGTACAATAAGAATAAAAACTCTCTCATTGCCCCAGTTGGGTTTGCCGTGAATGACAAAGAGGCCCAAGTTACTGTAAGAGCCTTCACCCAGGATGATTCAAAGTTCAAAGAACTCCAGAGTTGGATATAGGTGGATACAGATCCAAGGTGCTTGGGCCTATTCACTTGAAAGTGTTAGTTAAAAGTTCAGGAATCATGAATTGCAATAATGAAATAATACATGAAATCCACCGTATAAAATAAATTAAAACTGTAACTGCTTTGGTTGAATCAAGGTTAGGGTGCAGGCCTCTTGGCCCTCTCTTTCTCTACTAAAGCATCCCAAAATTATCTTCATGGGTTGTCTTGAGTTTCATCAAGTATCATGGAACCACCACTAATGTGATAGAACAAGCAGCAGCTTTGGATACGGAAACTCAAATACTAACTTCTCTGAGTCTCAATTTCCTCATCACTCAGAGAAAATAACAATTACTAATATCACCATGAAATGGCATGCAATAATATATAAGTGCTCTGGATGCTGCAGTGCAAGGTAGCAGCAGGAGTTCATCCAGGTGTTTACTTTTGTGCAAATGAAAAAGAATTATTCAATTCTACTGAGAAACCAATTTCTCTTTCATTTTTTATTATTACTCTTCTTGATCTTAAGGGTGAACTACAACAGGTCCACTGAAGCTTCTGGTAACGGATTCTAAAGTGCTGAGCAGTCAGATTACGACCAAAGCGTCTGTGAAGGCTACTCAGGGAGAAAAAGTTACAGCAAATCTTTGGCCTTCTTTCCAGGTAGCTGGGACTACATTCCTTGCCCAGAAACCTCAGTTGCTGTAACCCCTGGAACCTCCAGTATCTCAGAAGAGGCTGGGAAAAGTCTAAAGCTCTTGGTTTCTGGGCAGACATTTGGATGTCCTAAAAACACCTGATATATAACTGAAGTCTGGGCCTGCTCTAAGGTTACCCTCTGGCCAATCTGTCAGGGGTGGGCTTGCCCAGAGCCATGTCAGAAGTTCCGTGCTTGCTGCAATTATCTCCTCCCCAGATCACCATCTGGCCATGCTCTCCTTTTGCACTGCCCCATGTTGAGATCTTATGGACATTTTCCTCCTTCATTTCAATTCAACATTTGTCATCCCCAAGTAGTCTAGATCCTAGGTTCTTGCCTCCTAGAAAAACAACCCATGGCCCTAGGGAAAACCTGAGAAGCAGGAACCTGGGGGAGTTGACACGGACTCATAGGTAGACTCTTTGTGCATCCTCTGTAAGTCAAGTCTCCTCTTTGATCTTTGGTTTCTATGAAAGAGTATAGACTCTCAAGGAGATTGGGGGAACTGAAAGATGATGGGCAAATACAGAATGACCTGTAAAACACCACTCAGATGTGAGATGTATATTTCTACCAGTAGTGCTGGGCTTTAATCAACTCTGTATTCTCCCATCCTTATGCCTAATACAAAATAACTGATCAATAAACACTTGGTCCTATTAAAGTGAATTCCTGATACTCTTCAGAAGAAAGCATTTATCGGCATACACAAAAAAATTATTGGCATTTCAAATCTTCTGCCTGTTTGATACTTTGAATAATGAGATCCATCCCCTTGCAAGAGCCTAGGAGACACGTTCTTCTAAATGGAGGGTTTACCTGGTTAGAAGTCCTTCTCTGGTGCTGGTTTTCTGGTACACGTGAGTAAAACATGAAGGACTGTATTTTACTTGGCAGCATAAATGATAAGGACAGGACCAGTGTAGCTCAGTCTTCAGTGTGACTGGGAGGAGCTGTAAATGTGCATGGATTTATTCCTCCTCAACAGATCAATTAGCCAAACTTTGTCATGCTGAGAAGCAAATAAATAAATCTAGAAGCCTCTATTGAAAACATGATGCCCTGGTCCCTTAAGTCTTAAACGTCTAATGAAGCCATTCCTTATATACAAAGAATCCTTAAGTGTTATTCTCAGAGGAACATTTGCACTCAAGGGCAAGTATAAATAATACTGCTTTGGCATTTAAAATTTTCCAGTGCACCAAGGACCCAAAGATCTGCTCTTTATAGACATACTTTTAGACGTGGGATGGAAGCGTTCACGAGGAAACTTTAAGGCAGGGCCATGTGAGATAACTATTTGCAAATTCCTCGAATTTTGAGGTTGAGGAACTAGACTGGCAAGAAATATCACTCCTTTAGAAAAAGTTGTGAAAGAAAAGGAGAAATAAAGAACATGGAGAAACCTTGGTCTTGTGCAAGCATTGCAATTTGAGACTCCTCTTAAACTGTGCTAAGGGGGTCTGTATTCCCCTAGTTCCATCTGACAGGCCTGGAGTATCACCCCATTCTCTCCAGAGATCCCAGGCTAATCCTGAACAAAAGACACTTGACCTAGAACTGAAAGCCTGTCCAGGACCACTGCTGGCAATGCCGCCTCCTTGCATTTTTCTTAGAGTTTGGAGAGAGTTTTCTCATCCATGAGGCTCAATTGCTTCTCTCTGTCACCCTGGGAAAAAATATATTACCATGCCCATACCACCAAAAAGAAGACCAGCCATAGCCTGCCTGTGCAAGAAGTGGGGAAAAGCCCATTTGCAATTATGAAATAATATTTAAACTACTAGGGATAAACGGAGTGAAGAAATTTCCTGTCACATTTATGCTTTTGGAAAACAGACTTTCCAGAGAGTAAGCAGAACCAAAACTAAGTATTAATTGCCTAATAGCCACAGTTTTAACTGGATGGAATTTAATGAGTTGCCCAAATTGAGCATGCCTTTTTTTAGGCAAAAGGACTGAAAATTGTTATTTTGATTTGTTTTTCTCAACCAATTCTAGTCTTTTCATTAATCTTTATTAATGGGATGGGTAGGAAATGGAAAGCAAAGAGGATGCTTAAATTCCTTAGAATTAGAGAAATGTGACATGTAAATAAAAGTTCCCCCACTATCCATCTCAACTCCTAATAAAGTCTGTCTTGTTTAGGCAATAGAGTCATTTTTCTCTATTAAGCCGGGCTGCATCGAAAATGTCAGCATGGAATTAGAGCCACTGTGGGCAAAGCTGCATTGTGAGTACCTGCAAATAAACTGCTTTGACCTCAGGTGCTTTTTCTTCTACTTAGAATAGAATGGAGAGGCTGTGCCATTTGCTGTACCAATGTGGGCACGTATTCATGGTGTACACTTCCCCAGAACTTCAGAATAACTGAAGTGCTTACCCAACCCCTGGTTTTACAGATGAGGAAATGTGACTTCAGAGGGTGGAAGGTCTTGACTAGGGTCATTCAGACCATGGCAACTGTGGGCCAGAATTTAAGGCTGCACTTCTAGCTCATATTGTGGTGTGTATGGTGTGGGGGGTGTGTGTGTGTGAGTGTCAAGGTGAGGCTGAAGCCAGAAAAGGATTCCTTAGGGGGTGACACCTAAGCTGGGTGTCAAATGGTGAGCAGGAATTACAAAGGTAGGGCAGGGTCGGGGTAGGAAATTTACTGCAAGAGAATAGCAGTGGCAAAGAGTGAGAAGGCTAGGGTTTGAAAGAATTCCAAGTTCAATTTGGAAATGACTAGAGATTGGGAGGGAGGAGGGCAGGAGCCAGATCATAAACCTTCACATGTATTCTAACCACCTCTACCTCCTTCATGCGAGCTTCTGGCTCCTGAAGAGTGTAGACAAATCCCCACCAGCTGTCTATCCTCATGCTGGGAAACTCACTGCCCTGTCCCTTGGAGTCAGCTGCCTCCTGGCACCAACACCTCTCAGATCTCTAGCTCCATCTGAACCAAATCTCCTTCTTGAGGTCTCCACCCACTTCTCTCCATCTGCTCTTTTGTAGGAGAAGGACACGCTACCAGATATCTAGGGGCAAAGAGGACAGGGAAGAGAAAAAGAAGAAAATGGGGAGGGAGACACTGGGGAGACCAGTGGGGCAAGAAGGAGGTCTGTGCACTCCCATCTGGTTAAGTGACTCACACCTTGGAGGAGCGGTCCCAGCAGACACTGGTGACCCTCTTCCCCTTCAACATTTTCCTTACTCACCAGCAGGGTGGGAGCCAAGGTAACCAAATAAGCTTCAGGCCTATCAAAACTGACGTGGGGAGCAAGACTGAAGTTTGTGGGATTCTTTTCCAGGCTTGTCGGCTGCTCCAACTCAGCCCTATAATACTGCCTTCCACCCCCACGCCAATGCAAGCAAGATGGTCACAACACACTAAGATATGTGTTCAGTACTTGTATCATTGGGTTTGTGTTACTGGTGAAAGATACAAGGAGCTCTCTAGAGTTGATGGCTGCTTCAGAGTGTGACCCTTTATAGAAGCAAAAATAGTCCTGTCCTCATACGTGAATAACAGCACTGTCTTTTTTCACTGTCTTCAATAATTTGAAAAATTTGAGTGGAAGACATTTGATTGCTTTGGAAGAAACAGTTACAAAATACCTGTAATTGCACTGGCTTCATCCATTGCTAGAGGGGGCTAGTGCTGGCTCTCAAAAGCTCAATGTGCCTATCTCTTCTCAACTTAATGGTGAATGATGTCAACTTAGTCGCTTGAAGACAGCCACGATAGGAGCATTTACACCATGGGTGTAAAATGGCAAATACTTCAAATCATTTTTGGAGGGTTGGGGAAGGGTGGGAGGGTATGAGCCATCATGACATTTGTTTCATCTCACTCCTGGGCAGAAGTACACAAAGCCAACACTCAGAACAGAAAACTAAATTCTTTGCACAGATGAAGTGCAGAATTATATTACTCTGGAAGGAACTAAAAAGTAAGAAACACCACACCTTTAATGAGCACTCTTCTGATGACTTTAGAACAAACACAAATCTTTTTTTTTTTTTTCCTTTTGGTCCAGGACAGGGATTCTTTCCAGAGTACAATGATAAGAGAGACCTGAATTTAGAATCAGAAACCATGGGGTTATGTCTGAGCTTTACTATTGATTAGATAAATGTGCTCTGCGTTAGTCTTTTTGTTTTTGTTTTTTTTGAGTTGGAGTCTCACTTTGCTGTCCAGGCTGGAATGCAATGGTGCGATCTCAGCTCACTGCAACCTCCACCTCCTGGGTTCAAGGGATTCTCCTGCCTCAGCCTCCTGTAGCTGAGATTACAAGCATGCACCACCACGCCCATCTAATTTTGTATTTTTAGTAGAGACGGGGTTTCACCATGTTGGTCAGGCTGGTCTCGAACTCCTGACCTCAGGTGATCCGCCTGCCTCGGCCTCCCAAAGTGCTAGGATTACAGGCGTGAGCAACCGCACCCAGCCTGGTTTAATCTTTGAATCTTAGTTTCTACATCTCTAAAAATGAGGTTGACAAACGACTTCCCACTTTATGAGACTAGAACTAAATAATAGACATGAAATATAGAGCTCTAAGAAAACATCAGATAATAAGATGAATCACAGAAGCTGGAAAATGTGAGAACCATCTCACAAACCAAATGAAGAGCTCCTCTCTTAAGGGGAATTGCATTCCTCCAGCTGGATTTAACATTTCTCCATTATTAACCTGGTACTTTCATCTGCATGAGCTGTTGTAATCTGGGCCAGTTCCACAGAAGAGCTGTGAAACAGTCTTGGGCAGGTGAAGAGGCTGCATCACCCTCCTTGCCCTCTCTGCTGGTGATGCTGGTGATGACTCTCTTAGGCACCATCACAGCCTGATGTTGGCAAGGATGGCAGCTCTAGAAACTTCCAGCTGCAACATGCTTAATCACTGGGGACTCTTTAGATTCATTAAGAAACAAATCTAACTGTGCTGTGAACACATTTTCTTTCTCTAAGATCTCTAGAGAAAGAAGTGTCTGTTGCAGTGTTCCGGTTTTACTGCTGCATAGCAAATCAGTCCAACACTTAGTGACTTGGAATAACCATTTTTATACGCTAATTCGGTGGGTTACAGATTTGCAAAGGGAACAGGTTTTACCCTATTCCTCAATGTCTGAAACCTCTTCTGGGAAAACTCAAAGACTAGGGAAGAGAAAGCAGACAGGGACTGGAGGCATCTGTAAGTATATTCACTCACGTATCTGGCTTCCAGGAGGGACCTCATTCCACAGCTGAGGTTGTCATCCAGAGAACCTGCACATGGCCTCTCTGTGTGGCCTGGGCTTCCCCACAGCATGGCAGCCTCAGGCTTCTTCAGTGTCAGCTCTGAGCTCCAAAGGCAAATGTTGCAGCCACAAAGGCAGAAGCCCCCTCCAATCCCTATTCCTGATCTTGATGACCTAGCCTCAGAAGTCACTCAGTGTCACTTTCACAGCATTCTGTTTCTTCCAAGCAAGCTGGGAGCCCTGCCCAGGTTCAAGAGGAGAGAATTAGACTCCACTTCTTGATGGGAAAGTGCCAAGGTTCCAGAAAAACATGTGGAATGGGTGGTATTATTGCTGCCATTCTTGGAAAATACAGTCTCCCACAAGTAGCAGCAGATATTTCTCACTTGAGGCCTTCACCTTTCTACCCATATAAAGAGGATAGATACAGCTGCTATGTCTGGCCCAGGCCTTTTTCACAGAGGTTTGCTCTTTTCTAAGCCCAAGATTGGATCAGGTAAATTATTCCTTCATGTTTTTCCCATTAAAAACATTTTGTAAGCACCCTGGGGGCCAAAGTCAGGACTTGCTTATCTGGAGCCTCCCATCTATATGCTGCTCCTGGCACAGAACAGGACTCAGAATTATTGAATGGGATTATTAGGTTATTCAGATTCTTATAGAATACAATGATGATTTGAATTAGCATTTATATAGTGCTTATTAATGCAGGTACTGTTGTGTTTAGAGATATTAACTCATTTAATCCTCCAAGGAGCATTAAGAGGTGGGAGCTGATATTATCCCCATTTTACAGACAAAAAAGTCAAAGCAGACAGGTTTAATGACTTGTCCAACATCAGGTAACTAATGTTAAATTATGTTTTGACTAAAGCTGCCTCCTTACATATTTTAAGTTCAGCGCAAAGGTTTCTCCATATATCCTGGACTGTACAGAACTGGATGTGGGCTGGGCACGGTGGCTCACACCTGTAATTCCAGCACTTTGGGGAGGCCAAGGCACGCAGATCACGAGGTCAAGAGTTTGAGACCAGCCCGACCAACGTGGTGAAACCCCATCTCTCCTAAAAATACAAATATTAGCTGGGTGTGGTGGCGGGCACCTTTAATTCTAGCTACTCAGGAGGCTGAGATAGGAGACTCGCTTGAACCAGGCAGTTGGAGGTTGCAGTGAGCCACCTGAGTAGCTAGAATTAAAGGTCGCGCCACTGTACTCTAGCCTAGGCGACAGGGCAAGACTCCATCTCAAAAAACAAACAAACAAAAACGGATGTGTAAACAGACTGTAACCTATTCTTGTACTAATTAACTAATTACAGAGTTTCAGCCAATCCAAGGCAGCCAATTGTTTAAACTGTGTTCAAATAAGACAAGACATCCAGCTGTAACCCATCCAGCTGTTTCTGTACCTTACTTCCATTTTCTGTGCATGACTTTCCTTCTTCTGTCCATAAATATTATCCAACGATGGGGCAGCTCCAGAGTTACTCTGAACTTATTCTGGTTCTGGGAACTTCTCGATTCATGAATTCTTCTTTGCTCAATTAAACTATGCTAAATTTAATTTGTCTAAAGTTTTTCTTTCAACAGATAGCATCAGAAGTGGGGTTTGAAGTAGAACTTCCAGCGACCCCTGAGAGCATCCAGTGACCAAGCGAGGTGCTCACTGGGCCCACTGTGTCCATCGCTCTCTCACAGCAGCTGGGAATGGTAAGTTCTCTCTTGGATTTTGAGGCGTCACAGATTTGTGTTTTGAGCTATTTGAGTTTGTTTGAGCAAATTTTGTATCCAAACCGGGTTCAGTATTCCCAGCAGAAATTGGCCTGGCTCTAGAATGAGATTGGATCTGGTAATTAACTAGATTGGATCCAGTTAGAGGCCTAGGTGTCTGACTCGGTCACACAAAAACTAGTAGTAAATGACAATCCTGCAGAAAATGCCTTGGGAACTCTAGCATTCAGAAATTTGCAGAGATTTTGTCTCCATACATCCCAAACTGTACATAACTGAATGTGTAAACCTAAGTGTCCATCAGTGAATAAATGAATCAAAAAATATATACAGGCCGGGTGCGGTGGCTCATGCCTGTAATCCTAGCACTTTGAGAGGCCGAGGGGGGCAGATCACAAGGTCAGGAGATCAAGACCATCCTGGCCAACATGGTGAAACTCCATCTCTACTAAAAATACAAAAATTAGCTGGGTATGATGGTGCATGCCTGTAATCCCAGCTACTCAGGAGGCTGAGGCAGGAGAATCGCTTGAACCAGGGAGTCGGAGGTTGCGGTGAGCCGAGATCGCACCACTGCATTCCAGCCTGGTGACAGAGTGGGACTCTGTCTTAAAAAGTATATACATACACATATATATATCTTTCTAATATATATTAAGATATATACTAATATGGCTTTGGCCTGGTAGTTTGGGAAGGCAAGCAATGAAGGCACTGACTCATTTTATCTTCACAGTCACCCCTCAAGGCCAGAACTATTAATATTCCCATTTTGCTAATATGGGAAGTGAGGCATACTGAGTTTTAAGTAAGTTTTTCAAAGTCACACATAAAGTAACCTATTCTTGTACGAATTATAGTTTCAGCCTATTCAAGGCAGCCAACTGTTTAAGCTGTGTTCAAATAAGGCAGACATCCAGCTGTAACCAATCCTTTTTCTTGTGTGCTTAGGTAGGAATGAATTATTGGCTAAGTTGATCAAAGGGATCTGAAAGCCAAAGCCAAGATTCAATGTAAAAATAATGAGACAGCCAGGTGGGAAGGAGTCCTCAGAGAAACTCCAGCCAGCCTGCACACTGGGAGGAGTGCACACTGAGTTGGAGCCACAGAAGTTCACACGGTTTACAGCCAGGAGGAGCCTGGCCCCTCCTCTTCCTGTATGGAACCTGGGATTCAAACTGCAAGGCAGGAAGTGCACCAGCAGGGACTCTGGCTTTGCTGAGGGCCCGTTTCCCATTCTTTCCCTTTTCACCCAGTAAAACCCTGCCTTACTCACCCTTCAAATTGTCTGCAGGCCTAATCTTTTGTGGCCATGAAACAAGAACCCCATCTTTAGCTGAGCTAAGGAAAAGTTCCACAACAATAGGACCCTTAATTTTTGAAGAACTGAGCTCTCCATCTTCCAGCTATAGAAGCAGAAAACACAAAGTTGGCAAAATCTTAATAAAGATAATTTAAAATTACAGTAGAACTTTCCAAATGAACAACACTGCACTTTAAGAAAGGCATTTAAAAGTGAGGGCTCCTGAAATTAGGCTTATCCAGGAATGCCTAGTGATGGGCAGAAGCTTCTAAAAAGATTCTAATATTTTTATTATCTTTTTAAAAAGGCTTTTTGAAAGGCAAATAGAAAGCTTAAGCAATTAATTGATAAGAAAAATTGAATCTGCTAACTTTTTGGCTTAGTTTCTATTCTGCCCTGAAGGTGAAAAGAAAGTTGGCTGTAGTATTTACAAAAGGCAGGCCCTCAGGTAAAGAGGGCTTAATTATTTTTCAGAGCTATCCATGCTGAGTTCAGGCATAGAGAATGCTTTCCCTGCCCTATTCTTTAATGGGTTTCACCCTGAACTCTGTAATTTTAGCTAAGAAACAGACACTAAGTTTAAAAGTCCACCTATTGAACTAAGTTGGTCTCCAAAATACATCTTTCTGGCACTTAGCTAGCTATTTTAAAACCATTTTATATTTTAAAAAATACATCTATAAAGGAAATCTTAGATTTTAAGATTGACTCCTCTGTGCACTGGGAAGAGAGGGAGGACTGAGTCACTAGAAACTGTGAAAGGTAGATTAGATTTACATAACATGTGTTACCTATAAGGTGATTTTCCTGGCCATTTTAACTGGGCCCTTACCTACACTCTCCTTTGTTGATTTGAGCAAATGATGGTATAATGATTAGGCCTGAAGTCTCTGTGCTTTTGAGATACACGTTTTCTCCTTTGTTTCACCTAAAAGGCATCCGTTTAGAAGTGTAAATGTAGGGTTACATAACTAACAATTACTTAGGACAATGAAATAGGTAATTGGGAAATGGATAGTCTGAATAGAGGAAAGAAAAATTATTTGTAAACTGGCCAATGCAAAACCTTCATGAAAGCTTTAAGATGTGCTTCTGTGTGTCTGTATATCTGTGTGTCTATATATGTTATGTTCATGTGATATTTCTATGTGCTCTAAAATGATACTTGGTAGATAAAGCTAGTTTTAAAATTGTTGGTATAATAAAATAGGAATATCTCCAGAATTGTCAGTATTAAATATAATTCAAACATTTTTGCCTGGATCTACTGATCAGACAGGTTTACGCTGTCTCTAATACATGTTTTAAGGCAACAAAACTGCTGCTTCTATAATATTTTTGATACTTGCTTGATTTATCTGTAAGCTAAAGCTATAAGGGCTGGCTGTTGGGCTCCCCTGAAGGTTTGCACACATCTTACTGGGAGCTTACATAAGTATTTGGTTTTGAGCCTCTGGATACTGGGGCCTGGTCAAGTGGCTATTGTGGGCTTGGGGACACATCCTGTGTTGTCAATGCCTGGGCCACCAGCTCCAATGCAGAGCCAGGCCCAATATGGCCCAGCTTTGCTTCTTGGTTATACTAGGAAGAGTCAGATCCTCCAGGCATTCTCTTTACAGCTCCATCCAGTGTTCTGACCTCTACACCTGCTGTGTAAATTCAGGATTCAGAAGGTCCCTGCCTTTCGTAGCTGTCCCGGGTGCCATGTGGTATTTGAGACTCAGTATGACTGTAGAAGACATTAGGTAGTGTACCTGTGTCATAGTTTGAAGATTCTTTTCAGTAATTTAAAAATCTTAAAGACACATTATGTTAAATTAAGTAACAGATAATCATAAAATGTTTGAGTCATTTCTAAGTTATTATAAAATACTAAAACACTAATTATTAAACATAAGCTTAAGTTTCTATACTTCATCTTATTTTACATCGTATAGAAAAGCTAAATATATTTAGATCTGTTAGTAAATAAAAAAAATTGAGGAAACATATCTCTTTTATTTTTTGAAATGAGAGTCTTGTGTTGCCCAAGCTGGTCTTGAGTTTCTGGCCTCAAGTGATCCTCCTGCCTTGGCTTCCCAAAGTGCTGGGATTACAGATGTGAACCACCATGCTCAGCTGGGAACATATCTTTCTAAAAATTTATGAAATGGTTTTTATCTATAAATACTGATATAAAACAGTTCAGATTACTTCCTAGGTTTTTCACTGGAAATTAGGGTTACTAAGGGTTGAAACTGTAGTTAATTTTAATTGTAATAGTTAATTGTAGTTAAAAGTACGAGATAAAAAAGAAACAATTCGGTATACGGAGCATATTAAGTGAGATACGGACAGAAAGAGGGACACAACAGAGGCAGGTAAGAGCTGCTGCCCTGCCGTAGCCATGACTGTGGTGAACTTGCCCACCAGAAGAATATGAAAAAGCAGAGTGACTTGGTTAAGGGGAAAGCACCAAGATGATGGGCTTTCTGTTGCCTCCTGCAAGCAGAGGGACTTGGAGACCATTCAGCAGAAGCAGAAAAAGGCAAATGAGAAGGAGAACCCAGGCCGGGCATGGTGGCTCACGCCTGTAATCCCAGCACTTTGGGAGGGCGAGGCAAGTGGATTACCTGAGGTCAGGAGTTCAAGACCAGCCTGGCCAACATGGCAAAACCTCATCTCTACTAAAAATACAAAAAAAAATTAGCCAGGTATGGTGGCACACGCCTGTAATCCCAGCTACTTCGGAGGCTGAGGCAGGGGAATCACTGGAACCCAGGAGGTGGAGGTTGCAGTGAGCTGACATCATGCCACTGCATTCCAGCCTGGGGAACAGGGCGAGATTCCATCTCAAAAATAAAAATAAAAAAGGAGAAGGAGGACCCAAGTAGATTTGTGGCTTTGTGTCCAGCCCTCTTGCCGTTTGCCAGTGTGCCTGAAGCCAGTCCAACCGTACTCACATTTCCTCCTGTAGTGCTCACAGGTACCAGCACCGATGGCATTCCCTTTGCCCTGAGCCTGCAGGGCATCTCTTTTGTGCTTCCTTCCCCTGAGGTAGCCTCTCTCCCCCCGGGCCACTCCTCAGGGTCAAGTGGTCTTCCCTTCCCAGTGTTTTTTATTCCTGTGGGGCTCACTCCAAAGTATGAAAAGTCACATTGTAATTCAAATAAATAAATAAAGTGAGATGGGTGTTTTTTGGTGAAGAACGTTATAAAAAAGACATGAGGATGAGTATGTTGTCAAACAAAAAGTAATTTTGTCTCTTTTTGAGGTTATGTAAAAGTTGTTTCAAAATGAAGGAAAATATGCTATAGATAAAACTAAATGAATATAAATGTTGGGGAAAGAAGATAAAAAGAATTATACAAGAGATTATAATCTTATAAGATTGTAAGATATTATGTAAGAGGTTAAAAGAGATTATTTTATAAAATACAAGGTATCCATTGTATGGAAATCTTATTTTTGTGTTCAAAAGCTGGCTGAGATTAGATGTATTTGTTTATGAGGGTTTTTTTTTGTTTTTTTTTAAGAGATGGGATCTTGCTCTGTCACCCAGGCTGGAATGCAGTGGTGTAACCTTAGCTCACTGCTGCCTCCAACTCCTGGGCTTGAGGGATTTTCCTGCTGCAACCTCCTGAGTACCTAGAACTACAGGTGTATGCCACCACTCCTGGCTAATTTATTTTAATTATTTTTTTATCATTATTATTTTTGTAGACATAAGGGTCTTGCTACATTACCCAGACTGGTCTCAAACTCTTGGCCTCAAGTGATCCTCCTGCCTCAGCCTCCCAAAGTGCTGGGATTACAAGTGTGAGACACCATACCCACCCTCTGTTTATAAAACTTTCTTAAAATTAATTTTAGTATTGATAATACACTAATACAAAAGTAAAATTTGATTTTCTTCTTTGAAGAAGGAGTTTGTGAAGTATTAATATGCGAGAGAGCAAAAGAAATATTCTTCACCCTTTAAGTAAACTGCAAAAAAAAAAAAAAAAACAGGGAAGAGAAGGAGAGACAGATTGTGTTTCATGCTGTCTTTATTAGGTCTTTTGATTATTTGGAAAACTGACCCTCCTCTCCATCAAAGAATAAACGTTTTTGCTTTTTAAAACCTTTTAATGGCCAGGTGTGGTGGCTCACACCTGTAATCTCAGCACTTTGGAAGGCCGAGGTGGGCAGATCACGAGGTCAGGAGATAGAGACCGTCCTGGCCAACATGGTGAAACCCCGTCTCTACTAAAAATACAAAAAAATTAGCTGGGCATGGTGTCACGTGCCTGTAGTCCCAGCAACTCAGGAGGCTGAGGCAGGAGAATTGCTTGAACCTGAGAGGCGGAGGTTGCAGTGAGCTGAGATTGCACCACTGCACTCCAGCCTGGGTGACAGAGTTTGTCTCAAATAAAATAAAATTCTGATATATTATCAGTCATAATTGTGCTTATTATGTTAAATTATTGTAAGCCACACAAATAAGCAAATTTTCTTGTCAATTGCATCTTTAACCACGACCATTTTAAGTCTTGTCCACAGTTAATTGCTTAATGCTTACGCATTTTCTGAAAGCTCTTCACAAGCAAGTAAAATTCTAAAGTATTGTATCTTTAAGCAGGTCGGCTCCTGGAAAGGATGGAAAGGACGCTGACAAAAACTCTTAAATACAGATTTCTGATTACTTTAGGATCATTTGGACAAAGAAAGAATTCCCAGAACTCTAATGAAAAGATTGACTGGTTTATAAAACTGCTAACTCAAGCAAGATATTAATTAAATGCCAAAGAAATACTTTGCCAGATTTTCATGTTAAAGCAGCCAGTACCAAAATTATTAAGATATGCAATTTGAATGAGCTCCACAGTCCAAGGCAAATTACCTATGATAACCCATTTAATAAGCAATGCTATGTACCTGAATTGAAGAAACAAAGTTGGTATTTAAGAGGATATAAATCCAATGTTAAGCATGGATTAAGTGCAAATCATTCTTTGCTCAATTAAACCCTGTTAAATTTGTCTAGTTTCTCTTTTAACACTAATAAGTAGCCAAGCCAGGATTTCAACCTGGTGGTCTGGTACCTAAAACCCACTCTCTTAACCACTATACCATAGTGTCCCTGAGTTATTAGGAGCACCTGTTAAATACACAGGCTGTTAAGAGTCCAGTGGTGATTATGTCACCTTCTTGCACTTATTTAAGTTCTTGCCCCTTTCTGAGTGTCCCTGTCTTCATCTGTAATGCCAAGGAGATGAACTAGATTTTTAGGGACCCCCCAGTCCTCCTGTGTGTGCTCTATCTTCACAAGTGGACTAAACCAAAAACTAAACCTTTTATGATGCAAGCTTTTATTGTCTGTTAGGAAGAACTTAATGGAGGCTTTCAAAGGTTATTGAGGACCGAACGTCCTGGGCCAAAAAGCTGTAAACTAGAATACAACATTCATTTCAAGTCATTCATCCTAGGAATGTATGCTGAGCACCAACTGGTGCTAGATTCGGTGTTATCCACTGGATATCACAGTGCATAGGAGCCACACAGGACCTTCCTCATGGAGCAAATAGCCTGGGGGTAAGAGTCAGGCTAAGGGTGGGACCCACCAAACAGACTGAGGAACTACACGGAGATGAATGTGATGCTTGGGATGCCATGAGCAAGCATAGCGACAGGATCTGGCCTTATGAGAAGGATCAAAAGGACATGATTTTTATTTTGTGATCATGGCCGGCTCTGAGAGTTTGTTCTCTAGGACTGCTGAGGGCTCTGCATCAGAGACACAATGTTTTAGGCCACACTGTCTTTTATTGCCATTATATGTTTGCCCAACCTACTCTTATTGCCCGAGTAGCAATGAGAATAGGGCAAATGACCTCAGGGTGATATTTGGATCCCTGCTTCTCATTTCATCAACACTGCAAAACCCACATGACAGCCAGGAACACAACAGAAGGACTGCAAGTGCTTTCCCCCACAGAGCGGCCATGACCAGGCGGCTTTCCACTCAAAAAGGGACCAAAAGAGGAGTGGGCAGAGCTGACCAGGTGGGCCTGCAATAGGGAAGCAGCAGACAGGAAGACGCTACAAATTGGAGCACTCCAGCATGAGCTGCCTGGAGTTGGTTCTAATGTGGCCTGACTGCCCCATCAAAAGATGATGAGGGGAGTTGGTGAAATGTAAACGCCTTCCATTTGTTCCACTCAGGGTGCTATTAGGAGCACACGGAAAGAATTTTGGTGTCAGATTTTTATCCAAAAAGCCTCACTTGGATAACGGGATATTCCGCTTACATAACTTGCTTCTGATAGGACTTCCCTCATATTTTCTTAAGCTCTCCTACTTCAAGCCTCACTCACAAAAGCAAGCTTGTCCAACCCATGGCCCACGGGCCACACATGCAGCCCAACACAAATTTGTAAACTCTTAAAATATTATGAGATGTTTTTGTGATTTTTTGTTGTTGTTGTTTTTAGCTCATCAGCTATGAGTAGTGTTAGTGCTTTTTTTGTGTGTGGACCAAGACAACTCTTATTCCAATGTGGTCCAGGGAAGCCAAACAATTGGACACTCCTGCACAAAAGCAAAGCTTTAGTTTCTTTTTTTCATCCTTTCTGTCTTTCATTTTCACAACAATGGCAGCAACTCCATGTTAAGCTCCCACTGGGTGGAGATGACTCCCAACTCTCAGTACTTCTCAACAACCCTTTGACATCAGTCATCCTTCTCCCCTCATAGCTGAGGCTGCAAAGATTCAGTGACCCAACTGTCATGCATCTGGGTAGGGGTCAACTGAGCAAGGATCTTCCTGAAGCCACAGGCGCCTACCAGCCCCCAAATGCTGTTTTCCACCCCCATCATAAGTGCTACAGAAACTTGAAGACACTAGAATCTTTATGGTTCTCCTGAGCTGATTCAATTTATAGTTCCTGGCCAGGCGTGGTAGCTCATGCCTGTAATCCCAGCACTTTGGGAGGCCAAGGCAGGTGATCACCTGCGCCCAGGTGTTTGAGACAGCCTAGGCAACATGGCGAAACATTTCCTAGCTGGGCTTGGTGGCGGCACATGCCTGTAATTCCAGCTACTCGGAGGCTGAGGCAAGAGAATCACTTGAGCCCAGGAGGCGGAGGTTGCAGTGAGCCGAGATGGCGCCACTGCACTCCAGCCTGGGTGACACAGCGAGAGTTGGTCTCAAAAAAAAAAAAAAAAAGTATAGTTCCTATGTTTAGTCACTCACTACTGATGTTGTTTTTTGTTTTTGTTTGTTTTGAGACTGAGTCTCACTCTGTTGCCCAGGCTGGAGTGCAGTGGCATGATCTTGGCTCACTGCAACCTCCCCCTCCCAGGTTCAAGTGATTCTCCTGCCTCAGGCTCCCAAGTAGCTGGGATTACAGGTGCCCGCCACCATGCCCAGCTACTTTTTGTATTTTTAGTAGAAACAGGGTTTTGCCATGTTGGCCAGGCTGGTCTCAAACTCCTGACCTCAAGTGATCCGCCCACCTCGGCCTCCCAAAGTGCTGGGATTACAGGTGTGAGCCACTGCGCCCAGCCTACAAATGTTTTAACATTGGTTTGAGGACACTTTTAAGTAGTCTTACAGCTTCTCTAAAACTTTTGAATTTTCCCCCAAAAAAGTAATTTTTCTAAGTTTAACTTGGGGCCAGAGTTTAGTTGTTGCTGTTATTTAATATATAGTGGGCTTTTTAACTGATTATCTTGTTGTTTTATTTAGTATCATGAAGAACTTGCTACATCTACTTCAAGGGAATAAAATTATACCAGAATAGATTTATGGAAAATGAAAACAGGAACTGGCAAAGTCAATGCTATTTCACAACTATTTGCTAAAAGAGTTTGCAACACTCGGATTTAGTTGCTTTTTTTATGTGTTTTTTTTCTTTTCTTTTTTTTTTTGTTCTGCTTCAGATGAATGGTTAGTCTGAAATTAAAACATTTTGAATTTGCTAGAATGCTACGTGCCCAACCCAGAGGAGGAGGAGAACTCTAAAAAAATTCAAGTATTCGAAAGCTGCATCTTGCATGAGGCCTGCCCTGCTCCCATTTCTCCTGAATTGGGAAGCTGATTTCTCTGCAACATTCAACCAGCTTGCATTGCCTCTTTAGAGAACAGAAAGAACAATATCTCCTTTTAAAGAGAAGCCACCCCTGCTATCGTATACGGGCTAACCTCTGCTTGTTAATCTATGAACAAACGCTGGTGAACCTCTGGGCAAGCTGAAACATCTCTGAACTTCAGTATCCTCACTTCTTTGACATTTCAGTGTCAAAGAGTTTTAAACTCTGCAGAGCCCAGTGAATGTGAGTAATTGTTACAACTGTCAACACAATTATAATGGAGAATATAACTTAATGTACAGGCACAACTCTAAATGCACCTCCCATGTTTAAATAAAATATTTTCAAAAAAGTAATTCTAATCCTGTCCTGGCAAACACATCATCTATGGTAAGAGTTCATTTTTATGTGTGAATTCAGGAATTTGTGATGACTCAGTCAAGGGCTTGGCTTAAACTGGCCTTTGGTACTGAAGAAAAATAAAAAACTCTCTTTGTCATTCCTTCATTCATTCAACAAACCTACAGTGCCTTTCACAAAGAAGTTTAAGCAAAGCTTTCAGATAAGAAAGGGCTTAAGCATTTTAGAAGCACCATTTATGCAGGCTTTTCACATGATTATTCAGAATAGCTGAGAAACTGCAAACCGTTGAGAGCATAGAAAGGTACATGTTCACTTTATAAATAATTTTGATTCCTTCATTAAAGCGAGTTCCAGGGATTATCCTCATTCACCTTTCTTTCTTTTTTTAATAGAGATGGGGTCTCGCTGTGTTGCCCAGGCTGATCTTGTCTTTAACTCTTGGGCTCAAGTGAGCCTCCCACCTCAGCTTCCCAAAGGGCTAGGATTACAGGTGTGAGCCACCGTACCTGGCGTCATTCACCTTTTAATCCTTTTAGGTCTGCATGAAGAGTTTAAAATTGTAAAGCACATTTTTAAGTTACCTACAATAGTCACCTGTAACTTATCTATCTTATTGTAGACTTTCTCCAATTCTTTGAAAGTAGTAACACTTTACAATAAATGGAGGTGCAGTAGAGGGCAGGACATCAAAGACACACACAAGCCATTTGGGGTGAAGGTGCCTGAAGGCAACCGATTCTCCCCCTTAGCAATGGCCTCTGATTTCTGGAGGGTCTCCCTTTGTTTTCCTGTGGATTAAATCTTAAAAGATTAGGTTCCCTACCAGCCTCCCCCAACTTATTCAGCCAGTAACCTGTGCAGTCTGTAACTCTTAAGAGGTTATTTGGGGGCCAGGCATGGTGGCTCACGCCTGTAATCCCAACACTTCGGGAGGCTGAGGTGGGTGGATCACTAGGTCAGGAGATCAAGACCACCCTGGCCAACATGGTGAAACCCTGTCTCTGCTAAAAAAAAAAAAAGTACAAAAAATCAGCCAAGCAGGGTAGCACACGCCTGTAGTCCCAGCTACTTGGGAGGCTGAGGCACGGGAATCACTTGAACGCAGGAGAGGTTGCGCCACTGTACTCCAGCCTGGCAGCCTGGCGACAGAGCAAGACTCCGTCTTAAAAAAAAAAAAAAAAAAAGAAGATACTTGGTATTTTTCTTGAACCACATGAAGCTTTCTCTTCTCAACCAGGCCTCTCCCCATCCTTGTCTGCCTCCTGGGGTAAGGAATGGGATACACTGGGTGGTGCTTCCCAGCAAGCAGGTGCTGACATATCCTGCTCTTCAGGTGGCCACCTCAGAGGTCAGGAGGAGCCTCCTCCTTGTAAGGACATCGAGAATTACCAAGCAGAGAGAAGTGAGGTAACCAGCGCAAAGGGAATGCAATTTTCTAGATTTCTAGGTTTCAGCTGGGAAACAACAAGGTGCAGGAGAAAACGAGCACACACTCTTTGGGATTATATAGCAGGGTGCTTTATACTGAGCATGTCATTTCACAGCTCAAGCCTCTTAACCTCTGTAAGTCTCAGTTTCTACATCTGTAAAATGGGGATGGTAGTCATTCCTACAAGTTTATTGGGAAAACTAAATGAAGTAAACACTGTCTGTAAAGTAACAAGCACTGTATCTGTACAGAATAGTGGGCCTATGAATCATGGGTAACACCATAGCCCGTTGTAGTCTCAGTCGTAAATACCAATGCAGGCATGAGCCACTAGTGTCTCCCAAAGCAGAGGGGACAATAGGACATGAGCCCACTGTCCAGCGAGCCTCTTATTGTTGCCTTTTTCTGGCACCTCTCTGCCTCTCTTCCCAACTCTGAAGCTCGTTCTAGGCATCATCTGCCTCCCACACAAAGAATCTTCTCCATGTCTTCATTCTGCCTTTCTCTGCAAGTCCTTGTCTGAAAGTTACCAAAGACACCCAATCTTACCTTCAGTGAGCCCCACTCACAACTCCCCGTGGGTGCCCTAGCTCAAGCCCCCTTCATCTCTGTCCTGTGCTGCAATACTGCCTCTTCTCTGATCTCATTGCCTTTACCCCTTCTCTTATCCCAAACTCTTCATCTCTACAATCCACAGAGTTTATCAAGCCTCTCATTTATAATTTCTGAAATGGAGTACACATACCATGTGGGGTGGTCAACCTGATCCATTGAATACAGAAAGACAACCTTACGTTATCATCTCCATTGTGTTGTGTTGTATTGTATTGTATCGCATTGTATTGTATCGTTTTTGTTTGTTTGTTTTTGTAGAGATGGGGTCCCACTGTGTTGCCCAGGCTGGTCTCAAGCAACACTCTTGGGCTCAAGCAAGCCTCCAGCCTCAGCATCCCAAAGTGCTGGGATTACGGTCATGATCAACCACACCCAGCCTCACCTCCATTTTAAAGATGGGGAAACTGAAACTGGGCAAAGTAGTCCCAGCTACTTACGAAGCTAAGGCAGAAGGATTGCTTGAGCCCAGAAGTTCGAGGCTATAGTTTTCCATGATTGCACCTGTGGATAGCCACTGAACTCCAGCCTGGGCAACATAATGAGACTCCCATCTCTTTAAAAAAAAAAAAAAAAAAAAAAAAAAAGGTGGAGAAACTGAGGCATGGCTATGTTAAGTAATTTGCCTGTGGTCACACAGCTGTTAAATATCTGAGTTTGTGCTATTAGAGTTATTCTGGTATCACAATACCACAATACGTATGCATAACTTATTAACAAATATGCACAAATGGGGATGAGGTGCTCCAAATATATATTTTGTTAGAGTTGTGTGATTTTAAAAGTTTGGATTAAATTTAAATTCCTTATCTTGGCTGAGCGTAGTGGCTCATGCCTGTAAATCCAACACTCTGGGAGGCCAAGGCAGGAGGATCACTTGAGTTCAGGAGTTCAAGACCAGTCTGGGCAACTTGGGAAGACCTTGCCTCTACAAAAAATCAACAAGTTACCTGGGCATGGAGGTGCATGCCTGTAGTCCCAGCTACTTGGGAGGCTAAGGTTGGGAGATCGCTTGAGCCCAGAAGATGGAGGCTGCAATGAGTGGTGATCACACCAGTGCACTTCAGGCTGGGCAAAAGAGCGAGACCCTGTCTCAAAAAAATAAAAAAATAATAAAAAATAAAAATCTTTATCCTGGTCTTCCTGGGTTATTAATATGTTCTGACTACTGCCTACCTCTCACTCTTCTAGCAACTTTCCTCCCCTTACAGAAGCTTCATGCCTCCAGGCCTTTCCTGGTGCTGTTATCTCTACCCAGATGCCCTTCCCTCAGGTGAGCTCAAGTGAGATTTGAACTGAAAGGGGAATTCTGTGCTTTAACGGGAAACTCTATATTGTCTAGAGAACACCTTCTAAGTTGCCTGATTCTGATTCCAAGGGAGCTATTTTACAACTCTGGAAATTGTAGATAACTGATAGAGATGCAAAATAATTCTTGTTTAGGGACATGTAAATTCTGTTTTATCCACAAAGGTTTCCATTGATTCCTCTTCCACTGTAAAGGAAACTAGTTTTGTTTTCATTTGCATATTCATTTCAATATTCCTCATGTATACATGTGCTAGTTCTTCAGATTCTCCTTTGAACTGGTTATAATACCTGCCTCATTCTCTAATTAATAAGTTAAATAAAATATTTAACATGCGTTTAATTTCTACCTGTGTGAAAATCATGATGTTAGGCCAAGAATTGTAGCTCACACCTGTAATCCCAGCACTTTGGGAGGCTGAGGTGAGAGGATTGCTTGAGGCCAGGAGTTTGAGATCAGTATGGGCAACATAATGAGTCCCCATCTGTATTTTTAAATAAAAAGAAGAAGAAAAAAGAAAGTCACGATGTTCTCCTTGTTTGGAAATAATTCTTTAACAGACTGAGGTCTGACCCAGAGCCCATGATCTCTGCTCTCCTCCCCTTCATGCAGGAAGCCTTCAGTGAAAACCCACATAGTGTCGGACCCTGTGTTGGGTGATAGGGATCTTCGATGAGTCTGGCATGGTTTCTGCTACCAGACAACTCCCACACAGGAGGCATATGGGGAGGCATAATGACACAGACTGTTTGCCTGGATAAAGGGAGACAGAAGCTGGGAGCAAAGTGAGAAGTCCCCATCCCCAGTTGGGAACACAGAAGGAGTTTCCTGAGAATCAAGGTAATAATTAATATAATGAGTTAATCGCATTACAACAAATTCTAAAACTCTATTCAAAACTATTGGCCGAAATACAATTTTATGTTGAATATTACTTGAATTAAGTGAACTAAACCTTGGCAACATCTGGTTTCTTATGAGATATGTTAGTAATAATACTTGACCTGCACAGTATTTAAAATAATGCTGTATCCTATTCCAAAGAACATACTTCAGGGTTTCCAAATCCCATGGGCAGAACTGATTAGTTGCAGTTATTTAAACAATGTCAATCATCAAACAGCCATCCTCATAAAAAGGAAAATGCATGCATATATAACAATGGATCCAGAAGGCTTTTCTGGACACCAGGCAAAAGGAATGACAGCATATATTTGTCTCTCCACCAAGAAAACCCATTTTATTCATCTTTGTATTTCTTGCCCAATTCATTTGTTCATTCATTCATCCATCCATTCATTAATTCTAAAGTCTGCACCACTGGGGTCTATAGAAACTTGAGGGGATATAATGATGAAAGAAAGGTATAGTTCTTGTCCTCAAAAGGTTTACAGTCTTCTCACAGGGATGGGGTCAGGGCCCAAATATAAATACCCAGAATGCAATTCAATCGTGTTATAAATAGGTTAAATTCAAAGTGCTATGGGAATAAAGATAATAACTTATGAGATAGGAGTGGCCCATGATGAGGCAGATAAATTGTTTCTACCCAGGGGAAGACACAAGACTAGGCTAAGCTTGAAAAATCTGAAACGACAGGTCACTCCTACTTTTAGGAGTATATATGTCATTAAAAGGATAATTGTTATTAAAGACTGTCATTAAAATATAATTTTTGGAGGATTAGAAACATGACTTTTCTAAAAAGAAAAAAAAAAACAGAAGGCAGGCAGGACACACAGTGGCTCACTCCTGTAATTTCAGCACTCTGGGAAGCTAAGGCTGGTGGATCCCTTGACTCCAAGAATTCAAGACCAGCTGGGGTAACATAGTGAAACCCCATCTCTGCTTTAAGAAGCAAAACAAAACAAAACATGACTTTTCTATTTATATTAAAAACAAAACACACACACACACACACACAAACAAGTATCAAAGATTTTAATCAACTCTTCAATTAATAAGACATTAAAACCAGTTCAAATGAGAATTTAAGGAGCTAGGTATATGTGGGCAATGTAATTGTATTAGTCCGTTCTCACGCTGCTAATGAAGACATACCCGAGACTAGGTCATTTATAAAGGAAAGAGGTTTAAATGACTCACAGTTCAGCATGGTTGCAGAGGCCTCACCATCATGGCAGACTGCAAAGGAAGAGCAAAGGCACGACTTATATGGCAGCAGGCAAGACAGCATGTGCAGGGAACTGCCCTTTTTAAAACCATTGATTCACTATCATGAGAACAGTATGGGAAAAACCCACCACCATGATTCAATTACCTCCCACCAGGTCCCTTCCACGACTTGTGGGAATTATGGGAGCTACAATTCAAGATGAGATTTGACGGGGGACACAGCCAAAACATACCAGTAATTAAACAAAACTCACGGAGTTCACACTGCCTGAATTGACCTCCATGGTATTTCAACAAAGCGAGCAGTAGATTCATTGAGTTTGGGCTTTTTGGGGTCAGTTATAGCAACAGTGGTGGAACTAGCAGAATAAGCTGCTGTGCCAAATCTCACTAAGCTGCCTCCTCCCCAGAGCTTTGAGAAGACACAACCTGCATAGATGAGGAAGAGGCAGGTGTTTTTAGGAAACATAAAGACACTCGTTATGACAGACAGGAGATTGGAGGATGGGGGAGATGGGTGGAGCACTATGGAGAAGTGTATGAGTTGTGTTAAGAAGCATGCAGATTCTCAATTCTGGACTTGGATGAAAGCAAAGATACTCCCAGAGGGGTTTTAACCAGAGAGACACATGGTCAATTCTGCATATTAGCAGGACCATGTTGAGGAACAGATCAGAGCTGGAAGATTAGAATCAGAGGCTCAACGGGAGACATGAGAACAATTCAGAGCAGAATGATGAAGGATTACGTGTTTCAGAGAAATACTGAGGTAGCAGCATTCAGAGTCGGTAACCAGTTCATACAGGGAGTGAAAGAGCAGAAAAGTTGAGAATCTTGCTCGGTTTTCTAATGTGGGTGTCTGAACAAGGTGATGCCATTTAAAAAAAAAACAGGCACTGGTTTAGGGAAACGGGTTAAAGATTATGAATTTAGTTCTATGTATAGTGAGCATAACTGGGCTGAGAAATTTCAGTGAACTGGATGGGACCCAGAAGGTCCACTGGGTCTTTGTTTTCATGGTGAAACTACCTTAGAATAACTTGTTCTTGAAAGTATTTGTAGAAGCAATGCATCTGAGGATCTCACCACAACAATTCTGGCATAATTGAAGCTTCCACCACTATTCTAGTAAGTTATTTATGAATAATTGAATATCTACTGTGTGTCAGGCCTATGCTGGGATGCAGAGGTGAGCAACAAGTTCTTTGTCCTCTAAAAGCTCATAGTATCTGAGCCTGAGTTAACAAGAGTAGGTAAGAATGGGGGTTGGGTTGGGGGATGAAAGTCACAGAAAAGAAGAGCCCACCCATCTCCTGGGTAACAGGTAACCACCTTCTCCAGGGATACAAGGTCAGCAGGCCACACAGGTTATGTGCTGCCTTCATCTGATACAAGAAGTCACTCACAGGAGGAAGAGGAGAAAGTAACTAAAAATAACGTGGTTTCTGATTTGAGTATATTGCAACATTCTTTGGGTTGTTTTAAGGAACAAGTGCCTATGTTCTTTCAGGAAGAACTTGGAAATCAGCAAGCATGGGTGATTTGAGTCATTAAATGTTTGAAGCCTAATCCAGGCTTCTAGAAATCCTTCAGACACTGCTCCTACCTAAGCGGAAAACAGAACTTAATTTTCTTCTCCCCTCTCTCTTCTTCTCCTGCCCTAATTCTCTCTCTCATATTTTCTTGTCTCTCTTTCTAGAATGCAGTTGCTAAGAAATAAGTTTATTTCATCCCTTTGCTCTCCAGTCAATGGCACAATGTCACC
The DNA here is from genome assembly GCF_000001405.40 of Homo sapiens. Classification (NCBI taxonomy): domain Eukaryota; kingdom Metazoa; phylum Chordata; class Mammalia; order Primates; family Hominidae; genus Homo; species Homo sapiens. The sequence goes on along the minus strand of NC_000009.12, from coordinate 107,840,989 downwards.
AAAGTTGCAGGTTTAATATCAAAACTCTTTTTTGTGTGTGTGTGCCATCCAACCAGCTTCATGTTCATCTTCAGCTGCTGAACCCGTCGAAGTCTAGCCAAGCTGATAGGTCAAGTCATTATTATTATTTTTTTTTTTTTTTGAGATGGAGTCTCGCCCTGTCACCCAGGCTGGAGTGCAATGGCGCGATCTCAGCTCACTGCAACCTCCACCTCCCGGGTTCAAGTGATTCTCCTGCCTCAGTCTCCCGAGTAGCTGGGACTACAGGTGTATATCATCACGCCCAGCTAATTTTTTGTATCTTTAGTAGAGACAGGGTTTCACCATGTTGTCCAGGTTGGTCTCGAACTCCTGACCTCATGACCCGGCCACCTGAGCCTCCCAAAATGCTGGGATTACAGGCATGAGCCACTGCACCTGGCCAGTGTCTCAGCTCTTTTAGAGTCTACCCATCTTCTTCAGAAGCCCTTATTATAAGGGGATAAGACTCCCCAATTACCCATCTTTCCATCTTTCAAAAGTTGTCTTATCCATGAAGCCTCTTCCCAAATGGACCTGATCCCTCTTCCTTGAAGCTCACATAGTGCTTGACATCCATCTTTCTCTCTTTCTGCTTTTATAACGATGACCTATATGGACAGTAACCTTCACTGTTGCATTCCTAGTGCCTGGCATAGTTACAGGAACATTCTTCGGCAGATGGAGGAATTTGTCCACTATATCCTCAGTTCCTATCACAGTGCTAACTAGCAGGCTCTTAACAGCAAACAAATACATGAACGTAAACTCTTCTTTTCCCCCACAATCAACAGGTAGGAAGGATTAGATGAGTTATTACTCTATGGTTCTCCTTATTTCCCCGGACCCTTGCACTCAGCTTAGTTTACTATTTTGCACATGGTTAGTACTGGGTACACATTCCAAAAATCATTTTGGTGAGGAATTCTCAGTTTCTTTGCAACTTTTACATAAATCTAAAACTATTCCAAAATACAAATTGAGTAAGACAATTAATTTGATCTTCCTTGGGAGTTGATTTTCTACCAGTGAACCACTGGAACTCTTGGCAAGTTCTTTTTTATAGCTCTTTCCATTGAGAACTCTACCTTTCATTTAACAAATAAATTTAATTGAAAAACATTTGTATAGCACTTATTATGTACCAAGGACCATTCTGGGTCTTTTCTAAATATCTTTCATTGACTCCTCATAATAATCCTATGGCAGTAGTAACCCCTTTCTACAAATGAAGAAAGTGAGGCATACAGAAGTTAGGTAATAGTCATCAGGAGACATAAAACAGCACAAAGTCTGTTCATCACAGGCTGTAATTCCTTTTCTGGGACTTCTTTTTTCATAAGCTGAGGAATGGCTTCATTTCCATTTGGTCTGAACAAGACAGTGTATGGGATTCTGTCACTGGAGAAACCTTGAACAAGGGCAACATTGTATAGCTCAGAGAGAGAGGCTACCAGGTTTGCTTTCCCTGGACACGTCAAGGAAGAAAGAATGATCTTTCTTTCCATTCTTCTGTATATGAAACCAGCTTCATGTTCATCTTCAGCAGCTGAACCCAAGTCAAAGTCTAGCCAAGCTGACAGGTCAAGTCACTACTTTATTCTTTTTTTTTTTTTTTTTTGACGGAGTCTTGCTCTGTCACCCAGGCTGGAGTGCCGTGGCACAATCTTGGCTCACTGCAACCTCCACCTCCCGGGTTCAAGCAATTCTCCTGCCTCAGCTCCCCTAGCAGCTGGGATTACAGGCACCTGCCACCATGCCAGGCTAATTTGTGTATTTTTAGTAGAGACGGGGTTTCACCATATTGTCCAGGCTGGTCTCAAACTCCTGACCTCAGGTGATCCACCTGCCTTGGCCTCCCAAAGTGTTGGTGAGCCTCCAGGCCCAGCCATCACTACTTTATTCTTGCTGGTAAGATTGAGAGATGATTCATTTTTATACCACATATACTACATGTTTTTCTAATTTTCTGGGTTAGCTTGTCCATTCCCAGATGTTTTCACTACCTCCTCTATGCTGGCCACTCTCCCCAAACTCTGTCTCCAGGCTTCTCTTCTGAGATCCAGGCCTGCATATCCCTCTGCCTTGTACAGTGAGGGACCACCATCTCCTGGCCACTTAAGCTATCCCTGTGGTCACCCACGCTGCCTTTGTAGCCTTATCCCCTGCCCCTTCACAGACTCTCTTTCCTGTTACATCACCTCATCTGCAAGGTTCAGATGCCTCTCTTTCCAACCTGTAGCCTATGATCTTCCTTCTCTTCTTCCTGAAGTAAATTCTACACCTTGGTCCATCTGGTGGGTTTCTACTCTTTTATAGCTTATTCCAAATATCTTCTTCTCTTAGAAACCTAGGTTGCAGATAAGTTGCTTTGCTGTTGCCTGACATTGACTGTCAAGTTCACCAATTCCCAATGCCACAAGCTTACTTACAAGTCTGGTCTAAAATGAATTTGTTAGCCAAACATGGTGGCGTGTGCCTGTAGTCCCAAATACTCAGGAGGCTGAGGTGGGAGGATCACTTGAGCCCAGGAGGTCGAGGCTGCAGTGAGCCAAAATTGTGCCACTGCACTCACTCCTGGGCAACAAAGCAAGACCCTGTCTCTAAAAATAAAAATTAGGCCAGGCACAGTGGCTCACACCTGTAATCTCAGCACTTTGGGAGGCTGAGGGAGGTGAATCTCCTGAGGTCAGGCGTTTGAGACCAGCCTAGCCAAGTGATATAGCCCCATCTCTACTAAAAATACAAAAAATTAGCTGGGTATGGTGGCCGGTGCCTGTAATCCCAGCTACTTGGGAGGCTGAGGCAGGAGAATCGCTTGAACCTGGGAGGCAGAGGTTGCAGCGAGCCGAGATCACGCCACTGTACTCTAGCCTGGGCAACAGGCTAATTAATTAATTAAAATTATATTAAATTTAAAAATAAAATTAATCTTAACTTTTCTCAAGAGCTATTTTAATGGACAACTAAACTGCACAGTCTTAAATATATAATTAGATGAGTTCTGACAAACACAAACACTCATGAAGTAAATAGCTCAATCAAGAATTAGAATATTATCATCAGCCCAGAACATTCTCTCATGCCTCTTCTTCCAGTCAATCCCCACCCCACCCCATAAGTAATTATTGTTCCAGTACCTCTCACCAAAGCCTCAACTTGTTTGACCTCAATTTTATATAAATGGAATCATGCAATATTCTTTTCTTCGTTTTGGTTTGGCTTCTTTCACTCAACATGTTTTTCGAGTTTGATCCACGTTGTTTTCTATCTCGGTAGTTTCTTCTTTTTCACTGCTGAGCAGTATTCCATGGTATGAAGATACTGTATCCTGAGTTGGTTTGTCCATGCTCCTGCTGATGGACATTTGGCTTGTTTCCAGTTTCATGCTACTGTGAATAAAGCTGCTGAAAATACTCTTTTACACATCTTTTGTGAGCATATGTTTTTACTTTTCTTAGGTAAACATCCCCTGAAATTGTCTGACCCTCCTACTACCAACTCATCAAACTCATTTTCTATCTCAAATGTTTTCATTGTTTCTCCATGGCTTAAAGTTGCGGTCCAAGTTTTCCTTTTTTTTTTTTTTTTTTTTTTTTTTTTGAGGCAGAGTTTCACTCTTTTTGCCCAAGCTGAAGTACAATGGCACAATCTTGGCTCACTGCAACCTCTGCCTCCTGGGTACAAGTGATTCTCCTGCCTCAGCCTGCCGAGTAGCTGGGATTACAGGTGCACACCACGATGCCCGGCTAATTTTTTACATTTTTAATAGAAACGGGGTTTCATCATGTTGGCCAGGCTGGTCTCGAACTCCTGACCTCAGACGATCCACCTGCCTCGACTTCCCAAAGTGCTGGGATTACAGGCATGAGCCACCGCACCCGACCCAGTCGAAGTTTTTAAGGACCACCCTTTCAATAAAACCATGAGGGAGCCCTAATGAACCCCAACACTCAGAGGAGCCAAGAGATTTTCCCAAGGTCGTTACCCAAGGGACAAAAAAGGACTGGAAGGTAGAGTTTCTGAGCCCAAGCCTACCTCTTTCCCTTCTGGGAAGAATAATGCTGCCAAAAGGTGGGTGTTTTGGGAGCAGCATCAGCTCAATTCCACCTTTGGCAGCTCCTTCAGATTTGCCCACTTTTTTGCTTTTCCTCCCACCAGTATTTCAGAGCCCTCAGGCCATCCTAACAGTGCAGGTTCTACAAAGGGCAAGAACTCCAAGTCCAACATCCATTTATCTGCTTTGTCTTCTTCTTGCTACCCCTGCAAGTAGATACTGACTGGTTTGCTACAGATATTCCGGCATTCTTTGATAATCCTGCCCTGGAGGAGAGGGGCTAGATATTTGAGCCATTCAACTGTAATTCACACGGTGCCAGAATCAATCCAAAGGAAACCTTTGAGTATCTATTTTATACCAGATACAGGGACACAAAGATGGCCAAGGTCTAGTCATGAGCTTCAGGGCACACATGGCCCAGTGAAGGCAAATAGATGAGGAAATACTGCAAACAAGACAGGTCTTGGCACTAGCTGTTAATGGTGAAGGGAGACTTCTTTCCTGGAGGAGTTAAGACTGGAAGTTTTCTTGGAGGTGACAGCATTTGTGGTAATCCTTGAAAGTTGATTTATTAAATTTCTACACTTGGAGATAGAATAGTGTGAGCAAAATCCTAGAGATGGAAGAGTTCAGAAAAGATAATGAAGGCAGTGCCAGGAGAGTGTGGCTGGAGTTGATCATTCAAGTCAATAGTGGGAGGCAGAGGGGTGAGGTTGGCAACTGACTCGGACCAGGCCACTGAGAGTCCCAAATGCTGCCTCCATACAGCTTGACTTTTCCTGATGGGGATCATTAGGCAGATCCATGCTTTAGAAAGATGCTGGAGAGTTGAGAAGCTGGGGTTTAGAGGAGAAAAAAGGAGTGAAGTGTCCCCAAAAGAAAGGTTCAGGTGAGAGATGACATAGGCTTAGATGACAGAAACCATGGTGAAAAAGGCACAAAGGCACTTTTCCCAGCAGAGAAAAAGTGAGGTTTTCAAGGACAGGTGTTAGCAAAGCAGGAAAGAAAATGACTCTAAGGCTGGGCACTATAGGTGGCAACCTCAAGGACAGAAGTCCTCACCATAGAAAGTGGTAGCATCGGACAAGCTTGAGATAAGCGGTGATGGAGATTTGGTCAGGGCCTGCCCTGAGGAAACTTGTACAAGCGTGGGAGGTGAGCACACTTCTTCACTGGCCCCAAAGCAGCAGGCCTGGCAAAGCCAGCTAGAATGTTTTATTTGTTGGTTGGTTGGTTTTTGAGAAAGAGTCCCACTTTGTCACCCAGGCTGGAGTGTAGTGGCATGATCTTGGCTCACTACAGCCTTCGCCTCCTGGGTTCAAGCGATTCTCCTGCCTCAGCTTCCCAAGTAGCTGGGATTACAGGCACGGGCCACCACGCCCGGCTAATTTTTGTATTTTTAGTAGAGATGAGGTTTCGCCATGATGGCCAGGCTGGTCTCGAACTCCTGTCCTCAAGTGATCTGCCTGCCTCAGACTCCCAAAGCACTGGGATTATAGGCATGAGCCACCGTGCCCAGCCTCTGTTTTTATGTTTGTTTGGTTTTTAAGCCTGTTTTGGGCAAACAGTACCTCAGACTCCTGAGAGCCGAAATAAAGGGAGTCTCTCTTGAGGGTCAATCAACCACTGAAACAAAAAAATTGGGAGGAAATATTCTTCCCCTCCTCACCACCCCTCTTCTAGCAGAGAAGGTGACAGCTGGAGAGTAGGGAAACCCAAGTTCAAAAGTCACCATTTAACTATGAGATCTTGAAAAAGTCGCTTTCCACTTTCTCTATGATCCTCGGTTTCCTTATCTGTGTAATGCCTGCCTAAGTGTCCTCACAGGCTTATTAGGAGGATCAAGTGAAAATGCAGGTGAATGCAGTTTCAGAGTATAGAGTGCTACTCAAATATAACATACTCTCTTTCTCATTATTATACTGCTATTATTATATGCTGCCTGCCAGGAGGGGAGAGTTAATTACCTGACCATCTCTTTAACTACGCCAGCACCCAGAAAAGTTAAAACTACCTTTTTTTAATCCTGTTTTGCCCAAGAAAATTTAAATGCACTTCTGTGCCCACAGCACTCCCGCAAGTATGGTGAATGTTCCTAAAACCCACCGGACTTTCTGTAACAAGTGTGTCAAGCACCAGTCCCACAAAGTGACACAGAATGAGATGGGCAAAGATTCTCTGTATGCCCAGGGAAAGAAGTGCTATAATAGGAAGCCAAGTGGCTATTGCGGGCAGACTGAGCCCATTTTCAGGAAAAAGGCTAAAACTACAAAGAAGATTGTGCTGAGGCTTGAGTGCATTGAGCCCAACTGCAGATCTACAAAAGTGCTGGCCATTAAGAGATACAAGGATTTTGAACTGGGAGGAGGTACAAAGACAAAGGGCCAAGCGATCCGGTTCTAAGTGTCATCTTTTGTTTTATGATGAAGACAATAAAACTTTGAGTGTATGTTCACTTCAAAAAAACAATAACAGAAAATTTAAATGTCTAGTGTCTATTGACCGGAAAGAATGACATGTTTTATTGCATTTTTCTCAGTAGCACTTATCCATGAAAAAGAACCATGTCCCTTGGCTTGAGGGTTTTAAGCAAGACTTACTTTTTTTCCTCTTAAAGAACTTCTAAGGATTTCTGCAAACACCAAATCACCCTTGAATTCTTTTATTTCCTATTGATTATCCACACAAAAAAAAATAATTCTGGCTAGTATAATAATAGGCTATACCATTCTGGAGAACATGGAGGATTCATTCAGATGAACATTACTAGAGGATCCAGATAGAGCATGGAACATGAAGCCAAAGGAACCTCATAGGCTCCCCCATCTCATCCTTTGATAGGGGCTCATGCCTCAAGGGGCATTCTGATGGAAGAGGGCTTTTCGTATCAAGGGAGACCACTTCTCATGGAGAAGGAAAACCAGACTATGTGCTGGGGGTGGAAAGTTGTCGGCCGTGTCTGTAACATGGATCTGTGGAACACATACACCCTCCACCATTACCACTGCTAAAGAGACCGTATGGCCCATTCTCAGGGGAACTAAACAAGGTTCTCACATTCCACGAGTTTGTAGAGTCCCTCGGAGTTATTACAAGGCAAGCTGTTGACCATATATAGCACTGCTCAAAAGGGCCTTATTTGTGGGAATTTTCTGTTTAATTGTATTTTCGATCAACAAGAATGTGACTTCATTACTTCAGCATCAATTCAATAAGATTTTTCTGCCTCTTCGTGTCAGATACACTGCCATTAGCCCTGCCCTATACAGCCCTGCCTGCTGCACAGTGCTTACGGCCCAGTGTCTTAGAATGACTGAGTTGAAGAGCAAGATGTGACTATTGAGAGATTTCACAATTTGGAATGCTGTACCTCTAACATGTTTTTTTTTTTTCCACTTGTTTGTTTTTGTAACTCATGGTTACTCTTTTTCCAATCCAGAATGAAATAGAAATTGAGAAATAATCAGGTTAACTCAACCCATGCAGACAGAGAAGCTGGTCAATGAGAACTCCCAACTGCACATGGAGCTGAGACGTTCTGTCCTGCTGCCCACGGTGGTTAGATTAACCTAAACCCATCAGAAAGCTAACCATCCTTAGCCAGCTCAACAAAGACTTCAGCTTGCAACATAGGAAAATGCAGAGCAAAAAATACTATGATAAAAAGAGTTTGGGAGAGATTCAAGGAAAAAAAATGTAAAGAGAGCATTGAGGAAACAGGCTTGAAATCCACATGAAGGACACACAAGGGAATCCTTTTCAAGGCTGAATTGGTGACTAGACCAATTTTACCCTCCCTTAGAAAAACTGGCATTGATTAGTGAGTGTGACTGTATGGGCTATTTGGAGCTTTAGTTTTCATTCCAAGAAACTGGCAGCGTCTCTCACCACGGATCTCCCCAAATTGATGGATGGTAGCAATTATGTAGAGCTATTTGTGTAATGTGTTGTAATAGCAGCACACGTTGGCTGTCACTTTGACCCAGACAGCCCCTTGCCCAACTATAAAGAAACCCCATCACAGAGCCGCCTTCAACAAGAAGCCAAGGAAAAAAAAAAAAATCTTCATCCCACCCCGCCTCTCAAGGAAATAGAAATTTTTAAAGCCTTCGAGAAAACAATGCCCCGTTGGTAGGAAGAGTTAAAATTGGACTTTGTGGTTTATCAGTCCATCTGAGCATGTATATTTCTGCTCATTCCTAGAGCAAACAAAGGTTATTAAAGACTAAAGAAACTTCTTCCACTCAATGGATGTTTAATGACTCTTCACATTAAGGCGACATCATTGGTCCACATCATTGGTCTTGTCTGCAGGGGCATGCAAAGGTGAAACAGAGCCTTGGTGCTCAGGAAGCAAAGTGCCTGGTGCCCTTAAGATGAGAACAGCAATAATAATCACACCTTTCATGTACCGTGTACCAGGCATTGTACCAAGTGCTCCAACACATGATCCCTTATAACACTCGGATAGGACCATCTCCCTTCCTGGGCCCTTGACTCTTCTCACTGATCTTTTTGTTTGTTTTTATTTTTGAGAGAGGGCCTCACTCTGTCTTCCAGGCTGGAGGGCAGTGGCACCATCTCTGCTTACTGCAAACTCACAGCCTCATGGGCTCAGGTGATTCTTCTACTTCAGCCTCTTGAGTAGGTGGGACCACAGGCAGGCACCATCATGCCTGGATAATTTTTCATGTTTTTGGTAGAGACAGGGTTTTGCCATGTTGCCCAGGCTGGTCTCGAACTCCTGGACTCAAGAGATCCACCCACCTCAACCTCCAAAAGTACTGGAATTACAGGCGTGAACCACACACCCAGCCTCTCACTGATCTCTTTACTCTTCCCTGAACACTGGATGTGCTCCTGCCTCGGGATCTGGCACTGTTTTCTCCAAGGACCATTCTTTCCCCAGATATCCAGGTCTCACTCCCTCACTGCATGCAGGTTTCTGCTCCAATATCACCGTATCTGGCAAGCCTTCTCTTGATCACTGCAGGTAAACTAGCAATGTTGTCACCTCACCCCACTTATTTGTCTTCGGTGACCTTGTCACTCCTAACAAATTAGATATCCATTTGAAATTGATCTGGAATCAGGTAGTGGTAATGGTTGCACAACTTTGTGATATACTAAAAACCTCTGAATTACACACTTTCAGAGGGTAGAATTTATAGTATGTGAAGTCTATCTCAACATAGCTGTTTAATAAAATAGAATAAAAGTTGCTGCCATCTTTCTCCCCTGCTGGGAGACAAATAAGAGTTGTTTTTGTTATGTTTTATTTATTTATTTTTTTAAACAAGTTCTCACCCTGTCATCCAGGCTGGAGTACAGTAGTGATATCTTAGCTCATTGCAACCTCCACCTCCCAGGCTCAAGCAATCCTTTCACTTCAGCCTCCCAAGTAACTGAAACTACAGGTGCATACTACCACTCCCAGCAATTTTTTGTAGAAATGGGTTTTGCCGTGTTGCCCAGGCTGGTCTCAAACTCCTGGACTCAAGTGTTACCTGCCCACCTTGGCCTCCAAATGTGCTGGAATTACAGGCGTGAGCCACCATGCCCAGCCTGTCCTAGCTATTTTCTTGAGGTCTAGAGAATCATGAACACAAAGCAGGCACTCAATAAACATTTGCTGAATGAATAAACATGTGAGAAGAAACCTTGAAAACTAAAACAACATTAATTAGCTGCAAGGATGTTAGTGTTTTTATTCCACAGATAATGATAGGTTTCTTCTAGAAGACAGAGCAAGATAACTTCTGGCACAGTTTGTCTGCTTCTCAAATAATTAGTTGGGCTTCTAGACTTTCTTCTTTTTTTCTCTCTATTTTTTTTTTAGTCAACTGCAATGTCATCAAGCTGAGAGAACTAAAAAGAACACTTCATCACATAAATAGAATCAGGGATAAAAAAACCTTATGATCATTTCATTAGATGCTAAAAATTTAAATAAAATGCAACATTGCTTTATGATAAAAGCTGTCAACAAACAGCATATAGAAGGAACATCTCAACACAATAAAGACCATATAGGACAAGCCTACGGCTAATACACTGAATGGCAAAAAACTGAAAGCACTTCCACTAAGATCTGGACCAAGACAAGGATTCCCACTTTCACTGCTTTTATTTAACATAGTACTAGAAGTCCTAGCCAGAGTAATTTGGCAAGAGAAATAAATAAAGGGCATCCAAATTGGAAAGGAGAAAGTCGGATTATCCTTGTTTGCAGATGACACAATCTTATATTTACAAAAACCTTTAGGCTCCACCAAAAACCCTTAGAACTGATAAATGAATTTAGTGAAGTTACAGGACACAAAATCAACATACAAAAATCGATAGTGTTGCCATACACTAACAGCAATCAATCTGAAAAAGAAATCAGGAAAGCAATACAATTTGCAGTCAACACACACACACCCTAGGAATACATTTAACCAAAAAAGTAAAAGATCTCTCACTGATGAGAGAAATTGAAAAGGACAGAAAAAAATGGAAAGATATCCTACATTCATGAATTGAAAGAATTAATATTGATAAAATGTCTGTACTACCCAAAACAATCTACAGATTTAATATAATCTCTATTAAAATACTGGTGACATTTTTTACAGAAATAAAACAAATAATCCTAAAATTTATGTTGAACTAGGAAAGACCTCAAATAGCTAAACCAATCCTGAGCAAAGAGAACAAACCTGGAGGCATCATACTATCTGATTTCAAGTTATACTACAAAGCTATAATAACCAACACAGCATGGTACTGGCATAAAAACAGACACATAGATCAATGAAACAGGGTAGAGAAACAATAAACAAATCCACACACAGTCAACTAATTTTTGACAAAGGCACCAAGAACATACACCGGGGAAATGACAGTGTCCTTAATAAATAGCTCTGGAAAAACTGGATACTCATATGCAGAAGAATGAAACTAGATTTCTATCTTCCACCATACACAAAAATCAACTCAAAATTGATTAGACTTAAATGTAAGACCCAAAAGTATGAAACTATTAGAAGAAAACATTAGAGAAATGCTATAGGACCTTTGTCTGGGCAAAGATTTTTTTGGTGTAAGGCCTCAAAAGCACAGACAACAAAAGCAAAAATAGACAAATGGAACTAAATCAGCTAAAAAGCTTCTCCATAGCAAAGAAAACACTTAACAAAGTAAAGAGACAACCTACAGAATGGTAGAAAATATTTGCAAACTATCCATCTGACAAGAGATTAATAACCAGAATATATAAGAAACTAAAACACCTCAATAGCAGAAAAACAAATAATCTTCCTTAAACATGGGCAAAAGACCTGAATAGACATTTCTCAAAAGAAGAAATATAAATGGAAGCTGGAAGTGGTAGTGTGTGCCTGTAGTCCCAGCTACTTGGGAGGCTGAGGTGGATTACTTGAGCCCAAGAGTTTGAGGCTAGCCTGGGAAACATAGCAAGACCCCATCAAGAAGGAAAAGGAGAAAGGGTAGGGTAGGGGGAAGGGGAGAAGAAGAAAAAGGAGGAGGAGGAGGAGAAATATAAATGGCTTACAGGTATATTTTAAAATGCTCAACATCACTAATCATCAGGGAAATGCAAATCAAAACCACAGTGTGATATCATCTCGCCCAGTTAGAATGGCTATTATCAAAAAGACAAATAATAACAAGTGCTGGTGAGGATGCAGAAAAGGGGAATGCTAAGACACTATTGATGGCAAAGTAGAACAGCCATTATGAAAAACAGTATGGGGGTTCCCCCAAAAAACTAAAAATAGAACTACCATATGATTCAGCAATGCCACTGCTGGATATATCTCCAAAAGAAAGAGAATCAGTATGTCAAAGAGATATCTGCACCCCCCTATGTTTACTGCAGCACTATTCATAACCACCAAGATATGAGATCAACCCAAGCATCCATCAACAGATGAATGAAGAAAATATGGTACATATACACAATGGTGTATTATTCAGCCTTAAAAAAAAAAAAAAAACTGTCATTTACAGCAACATGGATAGAACTAGAGGTGATTATGTTAAGTGAAATAAGCCAGGCACAGAAAAACAAATATTGTGTGTTCTCACTCATATGTATGAGCTAAAGAACAAAAAATGGATCTAATGGATGTAGAGAGAACAGTAATTACCAGAGACTGGAAAGGGAAGCTGGGATGGGGAGGAGGAAGAGAAGTTGGTTAATGGGTACAGATATACAGTCAGATTGAAAGAATAAGTTCTAGCATTTGATATTACAGTAAGGAAATTAGAGTTAGCAGTTATTTATTATATATTTCAGAATAGCTAGAAGAAAATAATTATAATGTTCTCAATACAAAGAAAAGATAAATGTTGACTAAGTGCTGTGGCTCACACCTATAATCCCAGCACTTTGGGAGGCTGAAGCAGGAGGATCACTTGAGCCCAGCAGTTCAAGATCAGCCTGGGCAAAATAAGGAAACCCTGTCTCTACAAATAGTTTTAAAAAATTTGCCAGATGTGGTAGCATATGCCTGTGGTCCCAGCTACTTGGGAGGCTGAGGTGAGAGAATTGCCTGATCCCAGGAGGTAGAGGCTGCAGTGATCATGCCACTGCACTCAAGCCTGGGAGACAGAGTGAGACCTTGTCTTAAAACAAAAACGAAAAGATAAATGTTTGATGTGATAGATATCCTAATTACCTTTGATTATTATACATTGTATACATGTATCCAAATGTTACATGTACCCCAGAAATATGTACAATTATGATACGTCAATAAAAGATAAAAATAAACAAGGAACACTTAACTGACAGACATTTCTTGATTCATACACTGGCTCTGCCAATTATAGTGTATGACCTCAAGTGAAATCACTTATTTCTTTGAAACTCAGTTCCTGGATTTATAAAATGGAGATTAAAACATCTCACTGGGTCCTTATGAGGATGGAATAACAGAATGTACATGGAATAGTCTAGCACTTCTAGATATATAACAGCCAGCCAAGAAATGTCCAGATATCTGCCAAAACATCAGTGACAGATCTTAAGGGGACTCAAACTACAGTTTTTCAGTAGCCTCAAAAAAATAAAATTCATTTCTCAAGAATTGTAAACCTGGATTTCAAAGCAATTAGAAAATGCAATGACTGCCCTTCCACAGGATGTCTGGTTACATCCCACTTCACCTCCCCGTCTTCCATCTTCGTGAATGCTGATTTTTCTACTCTGACTGCTGACTTCCCCTTCCACGCCAAGGATATCACTTAGCACAACAGAGTGGGGACACAGAGTGCTGGTTTTCCAGCCAGACAGGCCTAGGTATGAGCCTGAGATCTGCCTCATTGTAACCTTGAACAAGAAGCTTAGTCACTCAATTTTCAGTTTCCTTATCTAGTCAATAAGAATCATGTATCATGTGCAATTCTCTCACGCACATGCTTTCCCTCTCTATCTTTATCTCTCTCTGTTTCTGTAGTTGAGCTAAAGTGAATGAAGTAACAGACATGCAAATACAATACATATTACTAATAATATAAGTACCTCTGTCCCCTACTCCACTCACTGGATGTCAGCTTTGAGAACTGTTCAGAAATGCATTATTGCATTCATTCAATCATTTAATATTTAATGAGCACCTACTCTGTGCCAGATGTCAGGTTTTTTTTTTTGAGACGGAGCCTCGCTCAGTCGCCCAGGCTGGAGTGCAGTGGTGTGATCTCGGCTAACTACAAGCTCCGCCTCCCCCCGCTTCATGCCATTCTCCTGCCTCAGCCTCAGATGTCAGGCTTTGAGGAAACAGGTTTACAAGATGGATGCAATCATTTGTTCATTCCCCTATGGAGCAGACTCTGCAGGTCCTCAGGTGAAAGAACTCTCTATACTGCCCTCACACCACATTTCAAAAGAAGCGGTAAGATCCAGCTCTTTAAAGAGCAAGTAGCCCACTAGTACTACTTCTTTTTCTTCTCCAAGGTCCCAGGATTCTAGGAATTTGAATTCCTGGAAAGAGAAGTCTTTTGTCTGTCTCCTTGGTCACACAAATAAGCTAAGGCAAACCATCTCTCTAGCTCCCAAGAGATCAGGATTCCTTGAAAAGATGAAATCTGGGCCGGGCGCGGTGACTCATGCCTGTAATCCCAGCACTTTGGGAAGTCGAGGCGGGTGGGTCACGAAGTCAGGAGATCGAGACCATCCTGGCTAATATGGTGAAACCCCATCTCTACTAAAAATACAAAAAATTAGCCTGGCACAGTGGCGGGCGCCTGTAGTCCCAGCTAGCCCGGAGGCTGAGGCAGGAGAATGGCGTGAACCCGGGAGGCGGAGCTTGCAGTGAGCCGAGATTGCGCCACTGCACTACAGCCTGGGCGACAGAGCGAGACTCGGAAAGGGAAAGGGAAAGGGAAAGGGAAAGGGAAAGGGAAAGGGAAAGGGAAAGGGAAAGGGAAAGGGAAAGAAAAGAAAAGAAAGAAAAGAGAAGACAGGACCCCAGTAGAGGGAGCTTCAAAGGATCACCAGAATGATCAGACTCCCTATTCACACTTGGAAACACTTCTTAGCTATTATTAGGAAGAGAAAGGACCTTCATGGATATACCATCTTCATGAACTTTCTTTGCAGCACTGAGGTTTTCTTTTCAAAAAGGAAGTTTCTCTTTCTTCCATGGACCAATAGCCTTTTTGAAAACAAAAGTATTAATCCTCATGGACAGGAAGACAATTTTAAGTTTTGGAGTGCGACAGGCAGGGTTTGACTCCCTGGCTCTCCTTGAAGAAAAAAAAAAAGCCTATGCAAACATCAGGGAACTTTATTTTATTGCTTGCCTTAATTACAATTTAGTGAGAGGAACACATCCTTCTTTCCAGGAGACACTGCCTACCCAGAGCTTGGAAAAGAAACAGAGTCCCCCTCTGGCCTTTGTCATCAACTTTTTGCCTCTTTAGCATTTTTTTTGTTTGGTTTGGTTTGGTTTTTGGGGTTTTTTTTTCAGACGGGATCAGCTCTGTCATCCAGACTGGAGTGCAATGGCGTGATCATGGCTCACTGCAGCCTTGACCTCCCAGACTCAAGCAATCCTTCCACCTCAGCCCCCCCAAGTAGCTGGAACTACAGGCATGCGCCACCACACCTGGCCAAGTTTTTTAATTTTTTGAAGAGACAGGGTCTCCCTATGTTGCCCAGGCTGGTCTCAAATTCCCGGGCTCAAGTGATCCTCCCACCTCGGCCTCCAAAACTGCTGAAATTACAGGCATGAGCTACTACGCCTGGCCCATTTTTAGCCTTGGAAAGATGACTTTCCAGGCTGTCACAATTCCCCGCTGCTAGGTACCATTGTGTATCTATAAATTTAGATGCTTAGATCTGCTTTCACAGTTTGTGCTCACAATGTCTGGATATAACATTTGCTACATAGATAAATTTCTCTCTTAAAAACATTGGATGCTTTCATATCTAATAAATTATTTTACAATGCATCACCAATTGCATTATCTCATTTAATTCTTGTCGCAATTTTGTGAGGTAGGTATAATCCTTATTACAGAGGAAGAAACCAAGACTAAGCAATTTTATAGGGAGTTAGATGAAGATCCAAATCCAGGTCCTCAGATTTCAAGTTCAGCATTTTTCATCGACTCCACAGCTGTCTTACAAAATTTTTCTAAAGCTCTCTTGGAAATTAAATATACGTATATAAATAAATATATATATATAATATATATATAATAAACACATATAACACTGCGCTTATTTTATGGGCAATAATAAAATTAGAAACCAATGCACAGTTTAGCCACAGTGAAACAGAGAATAGAGCTCACTTCTTTTCTCTACCTAGCCGTTTTGCCATAATCTGGAAGATTTAAAGCAGTTTTAATGCACTGAACTTTCTTTAGACTGCTCAGTCTTTATCTGGTGATGCAGAATAAATTCTGTTTTCTACATTTATAAGCGAATCACTGCAAGGCCCAGAGAGTTGGCTGGGGAGTGAAATGATCTGGGGCTCCAACAATAGCCAGGACCACCCTTGAAGGGTGAGGGTCCATGAGGAGTGCCAGTAGAGACACCGAATTCCACTGTGTTACAAGGGTATTAGCACATATATACTCTTTCTTCATGGTTTTTGGCATTAGGTAGCTTCTGGAAAGTTGTATGAAGTCACACGTTTATCAAGTCACTCAGTAAGTAGCTATAACAGGGATCATCCTTTGGGGGAAAATACAGAATTGTCTTTTTCTCCCCTTCTCAACCCACATATCATTGCTCATGATTTTCCCTCTTTCTGCCCAGAAGCATATATTCCTTATTAAATAAAAAAATAAATTAATTAATTAAACTTCATTGAAAGGAAAATATGGCTTTCTACATTCCATTACCTATCAAAACTCAAGTCTAGTGGACTTGGGATTGAGAGTTTCCTACAAGCTATAAGTTAAAGGAGAAGAAACAGAAAATGCTCACAAGACAAAAATAAAGGAAGATGAGGAAGAAGGAGGTCAAATGTCACCTCCAACTCCCTGTAAAATTAAAAGCCATAGATGGGAGAAGAAGTAAAGGATAATACCAAAACTCTTAATATAGCTGTGAACTCCAAATGCTGGCATAGCAGACAAGTTTTAGAAATGGTTGACATTGGTGCTTTGGACAAGGGACTTGCTCTCAGACACATTTTGGAAAAAAGAAGATCCTGAGACCGAAGGGCAGAAACAGCTCTGATAGAGTTTAGATTTGGAATAAGCCAAGTACATATCTAATTGACTGTGAGTTAATCCAGATGAAAGTGTTTTAAACCAGAGAGACAGAGTTTCCCTTAACCGGCAAACTTCTCCTCCCCACCCATCCCCCAGGGAATGGGAGTGGAAGTTCCATTGCAAAATAAGGTCATTTATCGATAAACACAGAATTTATTTTTTTTAAACTGGGACACTTCTGAGGGTGAAAGGGGGCGCTATTAATAATTTCTCCAGAATAGCAAGCATAAATCAGAACTGTCCCAAGCAAACTAGTTAGTACGATCTCCCCAACAATAGAAAACAAAAATGCCTCCTTTTGTGTCTTAGTTGTAAAGTGTAAATATCTACCCCCACTCATTTAGTGTCTCTCCTGGACAAAACACAGTGGGAGAAGGGTAGCCTCTCTAGGGAACACTAGCCCTCTACCCTGCTTTGCAGAATGTGGTAGCCAAACTGCAGGGATGGCTGGAGGGAAGTCACATCCTCAGGCTCTCCGATGGTAAAGGGCAGTGGGAATGCGGGAAGATGGAGACCCCTGCCCACTGGGATAAGGATGTCAGGAAAGGTGCTGAGAAAAAAGGTACCCCAGAGACAGGGGGATCTTGAAATTGTGGAAATAAGAATATTAGAATGGAGGTGAAAATATTTCAGGATGAAAGAAGAGTATAAGCAGAAATGTGAACGGGGGGTCCATGGATATGAACAGGGCACTGCAAGGCATTTATTCTGGCAGCACAGCTGTGTGCAGCAGACACTGGTAATGACCATTCCTACTGCCATTTCCTTCTTCCTTTCACAGAAAACCCAACTTTGTTCTGAGTGACAATGGTCCCAGCTAAAGATATGTGGATCTTCCCGGCTCCATAGTACTCTGGCCGATGAGATCTGGCAGAAGTTCTTGTCCAGGACACTCTTTCCAAAAGCCCTGCTATGAGAAAGCCCTTTACCCATCACTCTTCACCTTTATTTTAGCCCAGGCAGAAGCCATGCCTGGAAGTGCAGAAGCCATCTCATCTTCTGTGAAGAAAGTTATAGTCTGTGAATGGCAGACCAGGAAAATAAAAGGAACCAGGGTTGCTGGTGGCGTACACATGCTGCCATACTAGCCCTAAACTGTCTACCTTGAACTTCCTGTTGCATGAGACGAATATATTCCTTAATTGTTTGTTCCACTGTCGGTGGGACTTTCTGTTATTTTCAGGCAACATAGTTTTAACTAAATAGATGTAAAACGGATGTAAGGCCAGTTGCAAATCAAATAGTGAGGGCCTTGAATACCAAGCCACTGGTCTGTGGAGTGTCTTATATATCACAAATGATAAGTTTGAAAAAAATAAACAGTAGACAAATAGAAATGCTAAGAATCTGAGGACATTGTTATTAAGATTTGTTTTCCATTGTTTGTTTTTGTTTATTGCAAATAGCTGGGGTGGTCAATATAGTCCTTAAAGTCAGCGGCCAATCAAAACCTTCAGAAATACTTGAGTTTGTGACTATTAAATTTTTTTAATTCTAGCATTAACTGAGCACACATTGTGGGCTCGTTTCCACAGTAAAATGAACATTTTATGTCACTACTCTTAAAATGCAAAAGGTTGACATCTGTTCCCATTCTGAAGTATCTTTCTCTGTTGGCTCCTGAATTTCCTGAAATGCATGATTATAGCAGAGTAAAACAGATTTTTCAATTATTATATTCCTGGTTTGAAAAGTTTAACGAGGTTTACATACTCAGGAAGTCAATGTTTGTATACCCTACCAAGATTCAGCTCGGAGAAAAGCATCACCCACAAAGTTCAAAGCTGATAAACAGCAGTAATCAGGCATCTCATAACCGAACCATCTAACTCAAACTGCAACATCTGCTGAAGAGTCTAGAGGAATTTGCTGAGAATGGGCTTATCAACAACCTCTCTGAACACTCCTTTTCTTCTTACTTCCCAAATACACCATGGTCAAGGCTCAGAAGCAAGAATTAACAAAAAAAAAAAATTTTTTTTTTTTTTTTTTTTTTTTTGAGACTGGGTCTTGCTCTGTCTCCCAGGTTGGAGTGCAGCGGTGTGATCACAGCTCATTGTAGTCTCCATCTTCTGGGTTCAAGTGATCCTCCCACCTCAGCCTTCCGAGTAGCTGGGACACTACAGGTGTGCACCTCCATGCCTGGCTAATTTTATTTTTAGTAGAGGCTAGGTCTTGCTATGTTGCCCGGGCTTGTCTCAAACTCCTGAGCTCAAGCAATGCTACCAGCCTTGGCTTCCCAAAGGGTTGGGATTACAGGTGTTAGCCACCGCACCCAGTCAAAGAAAAGAATTTCAAGGAGAAGGAAACACCATGCCCACTGCTACCCTAGTGCCACATCCCACGGCTAAAGGGCATAATCTGCTGTCCAACATGCGCAGCACCATGAAGTGATGTAGACGGCCATTCGTGCATGCCGAGTCTACAGCATTGCCTCCAGATGATCCTTGCAAATTTCAGAGTAAGTGTGGCATGCAGTTGAGGACATACACTCAGAACTGAATTGCCTTGGTCTCAATTCCAGTTCTGCAATTTATTAGCCGTTTTGACCTTGACGATAACAACAATGTCAACCTCACAGGGTTGTAAAGATTAAATAAATTAGCACATGTATAATGTTTGGAAAAGTCCCTGATACATAGTAAATATTTCAAAATATGAGAAGATTAAAGTGGAGCAGTTCTAGGGAAGCTTGGGATGGAGCCCAGAGGTTTGTCTGTTAGGATTTTCCCCCTTGACCCTCCTCCAAGAGGCCCAGCCCCAAAATTTACTCCTGTCTTAGGGAAGTCTCTCACTTAAGTTAACCAGCTATTAGGAAGCCTCTGTGTGTGGTGAGCGGTGATGACTATTTAAGCCTCTGCTATGTTTTTATTTTTGTGAATTCCCTCAACCAATATTCTGTGGTTTTCTACTCCAATCCCCGATCCTAGTTTACTGAGAAGTGATTGTAGCTTTTTCCACTTTCCAACCTAAATTAGTATCATTTAATGTTCTTTAAATAATTCAGAACTATGGTGATAAAAAAAAAGCAAGCATTTCAATAATGCTACATTTCACGATTAAAATTCAACAGGCACACACTTGTATTTAAAACCTCTTCCATAGTATATCTGAAATCTGTGACAGCTTTTCCTGCTCAATATTTAAAAACAGTTTTATCTCCCTTTGAAAGAAAGCTTCCCTAAGGACCAGCTATTCACTGCCAATGTCAAAACAGGTGAAATATGGAAATAGCTCCCACCAGCAACATGTTTTCTCAACATGTTTGCTACACAGCAAAGTGTAGCAAAAAAAAAAAAAAAAAAGGATTGAAAATAAAAAAACCTGGACTTTGCAGACCATTGTTTCCTCTATTTACGATTTGTTATGCAACTTCGCATTCGAAATTTTCTGTCTCCGAAACTCAGTTTTTCTATTTTAAAATGAGGGGCTTAAATTAGAATGATGGTCTTTTCTTACTCCTTCTTTCTTGCCTTCCTGCCTCCCTCTCCTACCTCCTTTTCCTTTCTTCTTTCCTTTTCTTCCTCACATTCCTCCTCCTCTCCCTCCTGCTTCTTTTCCTTTCTTCCCTTTTTCTTTCTTTCAATAGTAGAGACCCCTCCCTCCCCAAAATCCACTGGAGTCACAGTGGATAAGAGTCCTGAAGAAAGCTAGCTCTCCAGGAAAGCCAGCATTTGCTTATGTTAGAGGGCACGAGTTTGGGGAAAGCAGTCCCTCACTCTATGTTTCCGGCCATCTGATGTTTTCTCTCCTTCTGAACACAAGCACGCACAATTCACTCGCATGTTTGGGAAAGAAAGCACTTGCATTCTACACTCAGAGCTGAGAGTAAAAGAGCACAGATCTTAAGATGTATTTGGACACAATGAAATGTGTATGAGTGGGTAGTGTGTGTGTGTATGCTTTGTGGTTATCATCAAGCAAATCCATTACAAGCCAACAAACATTTGCAAACTTTTTTTAGCCTTCGTGATTCTGTTCTCAAACCATTGGCTTATTTGTGGAACTCACTAGTATCTTCATTAGAGCGAAGCACTTCAAAACTGTGTTTTAGGCTTCTCCATCAGCCTTGAGAACAAGAGAGTAAACACAGCATCACTTATCACTTTGGCAAGCTCAACAAACACCATTTCAGAGTGTTAACAGCCCTTAATAAGGACTCTCACTGGTGTTAGTTAAACAAACAGCATTAAGTTGAGAAAAGCAATCAGCGGCCTGATCTCAGTATTGACTGATTGTTATCAGGCTTGGCCTCAGCTGGCTTGGTGCGGTGCGCACGCCTGTCCCAGCACACTGATGAGAGCTGGTGTTATTGGCCGCCTGGGAGGCGGAGGCCTTATTATTAAAACGCTCAGCTGAAACTTGCGGTTGTCAACAGACCTTTGTGTCACTTTCAAATGCCAGAGGTCATCTTGGAAATGGAATTTGAAGATTTAAACATTGGCATGTCTGGAATATTTTCATGACTTACTACATCAGTGGGGCAGAAGTTTTAGAAAAATCCACGACCCTTAGTGACTGTACCTGTGAATTTGTCTCCTTAGAGGGGAGGAAAAGGGTGTATGATCATAGGAAGGACAAGAAGTATTTTAAATGCTTACAGGCAAATAAGGATGTCATTTTAGAGTTGGATCTACTTTCAAAGCTGGGCTACCACTAGCTCTGTTTTAAACAACCTAGAATTTAAACATGTAATGATTTAAACTGTCCATGTTCCCCTTTCCCCACAACTAATGAAACCCCACTCACTTTTCCCAATTTCACCCACAAAACCACTCACCTAGGAAGTTTTCTCCTCACTCCACCTTCCCCGAACTCCAGAAGAAAATTATATTTTATCCTCTAAACTTCTACAATGCAAACATTAGCAGGCTAAGAGTCACTGAGATGCTTGTAAAAAATGCAGGTGCCTCTAATCCAAAGACTGGCAATCCCGGCTCCATATTTCAATCACTTGGGGACAATTGAATAACAAAACAAAAAGACAAAATCTCTCCAGGTGAATCCTATAGCCCAACAGAGTTCAGAACAACTACTCCTGCCCAGAGAGATTCTCATTCTGTTTACCTGGGGTAGGGCTCCAAAATTTTCTTTTCTTTTTTTTTTTGGAGACAGAGTCTCACTCTGCTGCCCAGGCTGGAGTGCAATGGTGTGCTCTGCTCACTGCAACCTCCGCCTCCCAGTGTGTCCGGAATTGGTGGGTTCTTGGTCTCACTGACTTCAAGAATGAAGCCGCGGACCCTCGCTGTGAGTGTTACAGTTCTTAAATGGGGCGTGTCCAGAGTTTGTTCCTTCTGATTTTGGATGTGTTCGGAGTTTCTTCCTTCTGGTGGGTTCATGGTCTCGCTGGCTCTGGAGTGAAGCTGCAGACCTTCGTGGTGAGTGTTACAGCTCATAAAAACGATGTTAACTCAAAGAATGAGCAGCACCAAGACTTCTTGCAAAGAGCGAAAGAACATAGCTCCCACAGCCTGGAAAGAGACCCCAGCCGGTTGCCACTGCTAGGTCTGGCAGCCTGCTTTTATTCTCTTATCTGCACCGCCCACCACCACCCCCCCATCCTGATGATTGGGCCATTTTACAGAGAGCCGATTGGTCCATTTTACAGAGAGCTGATTGGTCCATTTTGACAGGGTGCTGATTGGTGCATTTACAATCCCTGAGCTAGACACAAAAGCTCTCCACGTTCCCACTAGATTAGCTAGATACAGAGTGTGGACACAAAGGTTCTCCAAGTCCCCACCAGAGTAGCTAGATACAGAGTGTCAATTGGTGCATTCACAAACCCTGAGCTAGACACAAAGTGCTGACTGGTGTGTTTACAAACCTTGAGCTAGCTACAGAGTGCCCATTGGTGTATTTACAATCCCCTAGCTAGACATAAAGATTCTCCAAGTCCCCACCAGACTCAGGAGCCCAGCTGGCTTCACCCAGTGGATCTCACACCGGGGCCGCCGGTGGAGCTGCCTGCCAGTCCCGCGCCGTGCACCCGCACTCCTCAGCCCTTGGGCAGTGATGGGACCAGGGGCCGTGGAGCAGGGGGCGGCGCTCGTCGGGGAGGCTCAGGCTGTGCAGGAACCAACGGCGCGAGGTGGGGTGGGGGGAGACTCAGGCATGGCGGGCTGCAGGTCGCAAGCCCTGCCCCGCGGGGAGGCAGCTAAGGCCCGGCGAGAAATCGAGCGCAGTGCCGGTGGGCCAGCACTGCTGGTGGACCCGGCGCACCCTCCGCAGCTGCTGGCCTGGGTGCTAAGCCCCTCACTTCCCGGGGCTGGCAGGGCCGGCCGGCCGCTCCCAGTGTGGGGCCCGCTGAGCCCACGCCCACCCGGAACTCGCGCTGGCCTGCAAGCACCGCGCGCAGCCCCGGTTCCCGCCGGCGCCTCTCCCTCCACACCTCCGGGCAAGCTGACGGAGCCGGCTCCGGCCTTGGCCAGCCCAGAAAGGGGCTCCCACAGTGCAGCGGCGGGCTGAAGGGCTCCTCAAGTGCCGCCAAAGTGGGAGCCCAGGTAGAGGAGGTGCCGAGAGCGAGCGAGGGCTACGAGGACTGCCAGCATGCTGTCACCTCTCACCAGGTTCAAGAGATTCTCGTACCTCAGCCTCCTGAGTAGCTGAGACTGCAGGCGTGAGCCACCATGCCTGGCTAATTTTTGTATTTTTAGTAGAGACGGGGTTTCACCATGTTGGCCAGGCTGGTCTCCAACTCCTGACCTCAAATGATCCACCCACCTTGGCCTCCCAAAGTGCTGGGATTATAGGTGTGAGCCACTGTGCCTGGCCGAGAATTTTAATTCTTAACCAGCATCTTGGAGCAGAGATTCTCAGTCCACATTTGAGCAATGCTGCCATGCCCTTTGGGTGCTAAATGGGGCCTGATAACTATCACATTAACATTGCTTTATAAGGAGCATACATTCTGGAAACTGGGGGTCCTTTAGTCTTCTAACCATTACGATGCCTTTTGCATATATAAGAATGGAGGTAGAAGCTCAGGTATAGATTAATTGATCTACTTCATAAAAAAGAGTGCCAAATGTGTGGGAATGGGGGAGGGAAGTGGATACTGTAATGGAAGAAACTGAGGCCAGCAAAGCTGAGGAAAAGGGAAAGCAGGAAACTCATGACTCTAGCACATGGCCATGTCCTAGAACCAACCTTGAATGATGAAAATGTTGCAGGGGAATGTTGTAAATTGTTTGCTAAGGTGTGCAAAGTAATCTTCCTCCATCTCCCTTTAGAACTCTTGAGTAAAGAGAGGTGCTGGAAGCCTTCTCTACATTGGCAGGGGTGGGAAAAGGGAGGAGGGCCTGAAGAAGTAGAGCAAGGCAATGAAGGACAGCTCACATCTGGCTCACATGTGTGGGCTTCGTCTTCTAACACAGCCTGTTACACAAAACAGGTGTTCAACAAGTATTTGTGAAACAAATAAAATAACTACTAGGAAAAAAGCTCACAAGGAAGACTGTGGTTCTTACCACTGCAAAAGACTGACAGGGATCGAAACAGAAATATCCTTATCAGTTTGCAAATGCAAATCCTGACCTTCTCAACCTCAAGCTAGCACAATGTGCAAATGTTTGCCAAGAAAGAGCTGGCAAGTTTATAGCTTACAGAGTCAAAGAACTATCCGTGTGACATAAGGTAGGCTTTGGGTGTTTGGCTGTTACTGCTTTGGAAAAGTTGGGTGGTGGGGGGAATAAAGGGGGCCTTCAGAATACTGGCAGAACAGTTCCCATGTGCCCTTCGATACTGATGTGCACAGCAGTGGTCTTAAAGCAACTGAAGCAGGAGACATCCATGTGACACCCAGCTGGCTGAGTGAAATTTTGCCCTGAGTTCCATGTGTTTTAAGCCAAAGTCACAGACTTTGCCTGGGGGTCCTACTTACAATTCAGATTCACACAGCTCAACAGCAACTCTTCTGCAAATTATTTTACTTTGATGGAAGCTATATGTATTTCTAAGCCAACAGAATTCTCTTTAATGACTTTAGAAACAAATTTACTTGGACTAGGACTGACTCATAGGGAGACCTAGGGAAGAGTCAGGAGCAAATACCTCTTTCTCTAAGGCTCTTGAGGTAGATATTGCTTTGTTTTCTTCAGCCTAGCATCCTTAACGCCATTGAAGAACGGCTCGTCTCCAGTCTGTGTCATCCCAGCCATCTACCAACATCCCCTTCCTCATCACAGAGTTGGTCATGTGACTCCAGATTAGCCAATCTCGGTGCTCTATGCCTCTAGCAACAGTGATTGGTCCAGGTGTAAGTTGTGTAATCTAAGCAAGGCCAATCAAAATCTTCCCTGGATTGATAATAAATGGGCATTGGGAATTAATAAGCTGGAAAACATGTGAATCTGGAGCTGTGGGTGGCCACAGCCTGTCTACAGGATACAGCCAATACCCACAGGGACTCTGAACTAAGGGGTGAAGAGAAGCTGGGTCCTGATATCACTGTTGGAATCCCTGAATCCAGCTGCACCTAAAGTTGGTCTTGCTGAGTAAATAAAATTTTATTTATTAGTTTATGTTTAGGTTAGTTTTAAGTTGAGTTTTGTTACTTAAGAGTGAAAATGTTGTAATGAATATAATGTGTTTATATTTCAGTAAACTTCATGTAGCAAAACGGGATAATAACTGCAATTATTTATTGAATGCCCATTTGGAGTTAAGGCCTGTACTAAGACATTGACAGCATCTCTCATGTGAACATTCCACGGAACAAATGAAGTCACCTGAGACTCAGAGAGGTTGCTTGACTTTGACAAAAATCACTGAGCTAATCAAAGGAGGAGTGGGGATCCTAATCTAAATTTCAATTTACGTTGACTGCACTCTCTGCTTCCAAAGGAAGAGTGTATAGGGAGCAACACCTCTTTTGTGTTAATTAGCAAGATGTCAACACTTCCCTCCAAAGCTCAGGGCCACAGAATGACTTTTGTCCTACACAAGGCTCCGAGCTTCCAACCGGGCTCCTGAGGGTGGCAGAACCCAGCTCAAAACTCTGGCAGCAACAAAGCCTCCCTAGTGGTTGTTTGGGCTGCCTGTGCCACATGCCAGGGAATCAGTGGAGACATGCTCTGCAACTGACACTCATGGGCCTGAAAGCTGGAGGAAACACAAACACTAAGGCAGTGCATTTCATCCAGGACCTGCCACCTTCTTGGTCCATGGTGAGCTCTTTCAAGCTGAAGTGGGGGAGTCAAGGAGCAGGATGGCTGTGATATATCAGTAACAGGAGTGGAACATATCCAAGACTGTCTCTGCACCCATTCTTGACTAACTTTGCTCATCCTCCTACACCTTCTCCTGCAGTTCCCTTGGAAGTAGCAGGGGAATAACATCCTACATTCCCAAACCCCATTAATGAAAGTGTCCTTTATTTGAATGTAAATTCCCATTCTAATTGTAAAAAAATGCATGATTTCTCTTATTAAAATCCCCATGCCAAGTTTTGAAAAATGCATGGATGTAGCCCTGCACTGCCATTGATTGTCTATGTGACATGGGCAAGTCACATGGTCTCTCTGAGCCTCAGTTACCTCTTCTGAAAATGGAAATCATGCTGCCTACCTGAAGATATCTTAAGAATGAAACAAGGTGATGTGCCATTGCTCCTTCTGCTGCGTGGCATGCAGCAGATGCTCCCTCATTGTAAATAATGGCAAGGTTTCCTGCGTGTTCATGGGAACACAGTTAATGCATGCCAGGCCCTGTCTCCTCTGCTGAATCTTGAATTGCTGCCTATTAAATAGCCAGCTTCTTCCAAATGAGGCCGGAAGTAATTCATAGCTTTTCCCATTTTCCATATTTAATGACTCTGGAATCCCCACAAGTGGTCCTGGCCTGGTTAGATGAGGCAGAGCTACCCCAGGGTCACATAATCACTGTGATGCTAAGGTTAACTATGGGTTAATCGTGGTGCTATCATGATACAACAAGAAATATATTGGATACCATGTAGAGAAGTCTCAGGGCTCAGGCACTGCCTCTCTGCCTCCAGCTGAATCCCCAGAACCACAAGTAGGGTGTAGCTGATAAGGAGATTAGGGACCCTAAACACTTTCTAAGATCGAAGCCTTCTTTGCTTCACTTTCCATTCTGTTAAGGTCTAGAGGTGTATACCACATATGCACGGCTAGGAAGGAGTGGTCACCCAGGCTCTAGACCAAGCTTTTCCAACTTGGGGCCCATGGGCCGCATGCAGCCCAAGATGGCTTTGAATGCAGCCCAACACAAATTCATAAACTTTCCTAAAATACTATGAGATTTTTTTTGCAAAATTTTTTTTTTAGCCCATCAGCTATCATTACTGTTAGTGTGTTTTATGTGAGGCCCAAGACAATTTTTCTTCTTCCAATGTGGCCCAGAGAAGCCAAAAGATTGGACATCCCTGGTCTAGATGATCACAGGTGCACTGAAGTGAAGAAAAAAAAATTGTGTTCTAGAGGTGCCCCATTGTTCCTTGTGTGGATTAATGTAATATTGTAAAATATATATTTAATCTTCCATCCTGTTACTGGCATACAACTCCTAAAATCCTTGGAATCTGCACAGCGATGTTTTTGTATGCTAATGAGTTGACTGATGGCTTGTAGGCCCTAGGTAACTTCAGAATGAGGGCTAGTCACCAAGACATGATTAGAGGGTTAGGACTTTCAGCCCCACCCACAACCTCTGGGGCGAGGAGAAGGGCCGAAGGTCAAGTTGATCACCAATGGCCAATGGTTTAATCAATCAATCATGCCTACATAATAAAGCCTCCATAAAAATCTGAAAGGGCGGAGTTCAGAGAGCTTCTGGATAGCTGAACGCATGGAGGTTCCTGGAGGGTGGTACACTCAGAGAGGGCATGGAAGCTCCGTGCCCTTTCCCCCATGCCTTGACCTATGCATCTCTTCATCCGTATCCTTTGTAATACCCATTATAACTGATATGGTTGGGCTGTGTCCCCACCCAAATCTCAATTTGTAATAATCGCCACGTTTCATGGGAGGGACCTGGTAGGAGGTAATTGAATCATGGGGGCTGGTTTTTCCCATTCTGTTCTCATGATAATGAATAAGTCTCATGAGAGCTGATGGTTTTATAAAGGGCAGTTCCCCTGCACATGCTGTCTCTCTTGCCTGCCACCATGCAAGACATGTCTTGCTTCCCCTTCACTTTCTGCCATGATTGTGACACCTCCCCAGCCATGTGGAACTGAACCATGAGTCCATTAAACCTCTTTCCTTTATAGATTACCAAGTCTCAGGTATGTCTTTATTAGCAGCATGAAAACGAACTAATACAATAATAAACCAGTAAATGTTAAGTGTTTCCTTGAGTTCTGTAAGCTCTGCTCCAGTAAATTAATCACACACAAAAAGGGGTTCAGGGGATCCCTGACTTATAGACGGTCAGTCAGAAGCACAAATAAAACAACCTGGGGCTTTTGACTGGTATCATAAGTTAGGGGCAGTCACGTGGGACTGAGCCCTCAACCTGTGGCATCTGACGCTACCTCCAGGTAGGTAACATCAGAATTGAATTGGATTGGAGGGTACCCAGCTGGTGTCTGCTACAGAACTGACTGCTTGTTGGTGAGGAGAAATCCCCACAGAGTTGGTCACAGGAGTCTTCAGTGGTGATTATTGTTGAGTGAGAGAATTGAAAAAACACTTTGACTTTTTCAGTTTTTTTCTACTCACAATAAGGAAGGTAGCAGTACTGGGAGTCCTCCCAATAAGTATTTCACCAAGATAGAAAAGCATCAAGGAGGCCAGGTGTGGTGGTTCACACCTGTAATCCCAGCACTTTGGGAGGCCGAGGCAGGTGAATCACCTGAGGTCGGGAGTTCAAGACCAGCCTGGCCAACATGGTGAAACCCCATCTCTACTAAAAATACAAAAATTAGCTGGGCATGGTGGCACGTGCCTGTAATCCCAGCTACTTGGGAGGCTGAGACAGGAGAATCATTTGAACCGGGAGGCGGAGGTTGCAGTGAGCCAAGATCATGCCATTGCACTCTAGCCTTGGTGACAGAGTGAGACTCCATCTCAAAAAAAAAAAAAAAAAAAGAAAAGCATCAAGGATAGCAATTTTCAATCTTTCATATATGCTGTGAATCACCCAGGGATCTTGTTAAAATGCAGATTCTCTGGTTCAGTTGGTCCGAGGTTAGGCCTGAGAATCAGCATTTCTAATAAGCTCTCAGTGATGCTGATGCTTCTGGCTTAGGAATTATGTTTTGAGTAGCAGGATTTGAGGACATAGGAAGTACACAGTAGCTGAGCACAATGGCATGTACCTGTAGTCCCAGCTGCTGGAAAAGCTGTGGTGGAAGGATCACTTGAGCCCAGGAGTTCTGGGCTGTAGTGTGCTGTGCCCATGAAGTGCCCACACTAAGTTCAGCATCAATACAGTGACTTCCTGGGAGTGGGGCATCACAGGTTGCCTAAGGAGGGGCAAATGGGCCCAGATCAGAAATGAATCAGGTCAAAACTCCCATGCTGATCAGTAGCGGCATCACACCTGTAAATAACCACTGCCCTCCAGCGTAGGCAACATAATGGCATAGCCCTGTCTCTAAAATGAATAATAATAATAGTAATAATAAAAGGAAGGTCACAGTAAATGCTTGCTAAGGAATTAGCAATAGATAAATTGCTCAATGAACATACAAATGAATAAAATAGGGAGAAGGCACCCAGCTGGTGTCTGCTACTGCTGTAGCAAGATGAAAATGCTATTATCCGAGGCTAGACTGAGGTTAGAGACTATGCTTCCAGCCTCCTATATTTGACATTTATTCCTCCAACTGTTCTTTTTGATTTTGTTATCTCTCTCTCATCAGTGTCAGGGCAATGAGAAGATCAAAGTCACTATATCCGGTGTACCTCCTGAGCTTCAATGTCCATATCTGTAAAATGGGAATAATACTGTCTATCTTGCAGTTGTTGCAAAACTAAATGGCTCGTAAGAGGAATTTAAGAAATGGTTGCTACTGGATATTTTCAAATTAATTAACTTGAAGAGACAACAGATGCCTCTCCTCCACGTAGAAGGAACAGAGAAAAAAAACTGTTACTTATATCTATGTGCTAGCACTGTGCTAAGTGCCTGAATAAATTGTTGAATAAATTGTTTTATAAATTGTTTTGCTTGTAAAGCCTTTTGAAGTCCATAGTGTTATGTCAGTTTCACAGTTGGGGAAACTGAGCCTTAGTAAGAATAAGAGACTTTTTCATCTGAGGTCACAAGGCTGAGTAAGTGGCGGGGACCAGTTGTGTCTGATTCCAAAACCACACTCTTTCCCCACATCCTGCCTCTCCTCCATGCCCTAGTAGTGGGCAGCCTGCCCCTTTGAACACAGTCGTCCACAGTCAAAGGCTCTGGGTATTAGCTGTTAAGGCTCCAGTTCCGACCCACGTCCAGGGCTCATTCCTTGGCTGTGAAGCAGACAGCCTGTTTACATGACACAGGTCTGGGATGGCAAAGTCCTCAGTGCCTGTTTGTCTGTTTTTGCCTTCTCCCCTACTCAGACCTTTGGTGAGTCAGTTATGGTCAAATTCAGGGACAGTTTGTGCCGCGCTCACTCCAATTTATGGGGAAGGTGTCTTAAGCCCTGAAGTTCAGTGGGTGAAAGTGTCAAAGTAGACAGACAGATGACCTCTCACCTCCTTGCAGAAGGGAGGTGTTTGTTGAGCAAAGCATTCAAGAGCATCTTCTTCCCAAACAGGCCTGAATCACCAGCCCCATTTTCCAACCACAGATGTTTTCTCACTCATAGCCAGGTTCCAAGTGGGACAGGATCTGCTGGATTGAGCTCTAGAAGAGACAGAGAGGAAAGAAATGTGAATCTGACATGTTGTTTTCACCACTATAAACCCAGCTCCTTGGCCCATATCCCAGTCCTGCCTCAGAATTCCCCCTCCTACGGTAGAGACAGCTAACTGCTTCCCTTCCATAGTGTAGAACTGTCACTGGGAAGTAGCTGCCATGTCGGTGATTACATTTCCCAGCACCTCTTGCTTCTCGTGAGTGGTCATGTGACCACTTTACACCAATGAGCATAAGCGATGTGTCTCACTCCTGGTCCAAGGCATTCCTTCTCCAACCTGTCTTTTCACATCTTAGGTGAGAAAGAAGCCACAGGAAGAAGGAGGCAGGGTTTCTGACTCACCGTGTGAAAGGTTTCCTGGCAACCAGGAACATCCATATCAACAGCTTGGTGAGTGAAAAATAGTGTTTTATTACTTTAAGGTCACTGCAACTTTTGGACTTGTTCATTAGAGCAGCTACCATTGCTCTCATTAGTATACCCAGGATAGAGATAGGAGCATCGACGCTGACTGGACTCTCGGCACTGGGTGCAGTGCACTGTGCTCAGAACTTCATCACCATCATCTCATGGAACCTTCATGTAATTTTGGCGGTAATCACCCTCCCCATTGTAAACTACAGAAACCTTCGCTCCAGAATGTTAAATTATTTGTTCCAGATCACATGGTTAGGAAGTGGCAGACATAAGATTCAAACAAATTTCTGTCTGACAACAGTTGCAGGAAGTTCTCCCTTTTACACTCTGGTCTGAGTGACAGAGTGAGACCCTGCCTCCAAAAAAAATGAAGGAAGGAAGGAAGGAAGGAAAGAGAGAGAGAAAGGAAGAGAGAAAGAGAGGAAGAGAGAAAGAAAGAAAAGAAAAGGAAGGAAGGAAGGCAGAAATGAAGGAAGGAAGGAAGAAAAAGAGAAAGAGAAAGAAAGGAAGGAAGGAAGAAGGAAAGAAAGGAAAGAAAGAAAGAAAGAAAGAAAGAAAGAAAGAAAGAAAGAAAGAAAGAAAGGAAAAGAAAAGAAAAGAAAGAGAGAGAAAGAAAGACTGCCTAAACCCTCTCACCCAGGTGTGGTACAGACCCCAAAGAAATAGCAGCAGGTTTGGTTGAAGCACCTTTAGAGTAATCAATGTCTTTTTAAAGTGTGTCTTAAACTTGCTGTTGGCAAGTCATAGTGAAATAGAGTTCCAATAAATTTCCCAACTGGGGTGACTCAAAACTATTGAAATTAAATTTGCAAAGATGGTCACATTGCAAGATGTGAATTATGCTGTACTTAGATCCAGCTCACCGAGTACAACTTTAGAGGGCACCTATGACACTGGAGACAACCTTGTACTCAAGTGGAAACATAGTGAGCTTGGAGCAAGAAGCCAGGGCTCTGAGACCTAACACCATGGCTTACTGACTTTGTTACATGTAACTAAGACACACTGGTTACATGTCAAGACACAACATCTCAGAGATGCAGCACCCCGGTTTCTGAACAGGGGTTGGAGTGGAATGGGGAGGTGCTTCTCTATCTTTCTCCCAATGTTGTCAGATTTCCTTGTCTTTTTCATCTTTATGCTCAGACCTCAGCCTCTTTTTTTTTTTTTAATTTTACTTTAAGTTCTGGGATACACGTGCTAAACGTGCAGGTTTGTTACCTCGGTATTCATGTGCCATGGTGGTTTGCTGCACCTATCAACCCGTCATCTAGGTTTTAAGCTCTACTTGCATTAGGTATTTGTCCTGATGTTCTCCCTCCCCTTTCCCCCAACTCCCCGACAGGCCCCAGTATGTGATGTTCCCCTCCCTGTGTCCATGTGTTCTCATTGTTCAGCTCCCATTTATGAGTGAGAACATGTGGTGTTTGGTTTCCTGTTCCTGTGTTAGTTTGCTGGACCTCAGTCTCTTATACCTGAACTATTGCAACAGACCCTGGGAGTAGGGACAGTGTGGTACCAGAGCCACACACCCCTCCTCATTATATCCAGTGAGATCACACTCCTATTGAAACCCAAGAGTTCCCTTCTATCCTCAGGATAAATCCAAGCTCCTCAAATTGCCATTCAAAGTATTCTATGATACAACCTTGACCTTCATTTCTGTTGGATATACCATGACTCCAATTCTTCACCCTATACTGGATCCCATTGGCAAGTCCCACATTTCCCGGGTACCTTCCTGCCATTTCCTGACTTTAACTCCTCCAATGTGCTCTTATCCTAATTGTTATAAATTCAAACTCTACTCACCTTTCAAGGCTGATGTTGGTACAGCCACTTCTAGAAAGCCTGATGTTCACAACTACGATTTCCATTTCTCTCTTAAGAGCTCAGGCGGCAGGTTTTATTGGACTCTGATCCCTTTGAAACTTGTTGTTCATTATTTGATCCCATTTCTTATCTCCTCTCCCAGCTCCTTAGGAAAAAATGACTCCACCTCCTTCATCTTTTAAATTTTCCAGTACCTATAATGATTCTTGGTGCAAAGTCAGCCTTTGGTAAGTTTACTAAGTTAACTCAAAATCATGAGTCAAGGAAAGACTCAGAAAAGGCAGTTGATAAGAGGAGGTGTTAGAGGAAGCCATGCTGTAGTAACAAGTAAACCCTGACATTAATGACTTAACACAATAAAAGGTTACCTCTTACTCTCCTCACAGTCTTTCATGAGCTCGCAGCTTTGCTTAGCAGAGCTCTTCCAGTCAGTGTCAGAGGGATCCAGTCTCCTTCCATCCATTGAGGGAAGCACTCTACCATTCCAAGTGCTTTACTTGTAGCTGTACAGATAAAGCAGAGAAATCTTGGAAGACTGCACATGATATTTTATGGCCAAGTTGGAATTGGTGTACGTTCTTACTACTTGAAGTGTTGTCCATAAAACCAGCAGCACTGGTATTAACTAAGAGCTTATTGAAGTGCAGAATCATGGGCCTCACCCAAAACCTACTGAATCAGAATCTGCATTTCAACAAGATCCCTGAGTGATGGGATGACTCATTATACACACTGTAGCGTGAGAACCACTAGTGGACATCATTTCTGTGCACATTCCATTGGCAAGAACTCCAGCGCAAGCCCCAACCTAACTGCAAAGAAGGCTGGAGAATTTATCCCGTCCTAATACCTAGAAAGAGGACAAAATTTTGCCTGCCATAGACTGCCACAAGCAGCATTTAAAATGGAACAAATCCAGTTCCTCTTCCAAGTCAAGAAAGTCATACAACTCTAAACCTCATCTCCCTGCTATGCAATATCAGGGAGGTTGGAGTGTCTGTGCTGGCTGAATAAGGGACAGGCTGTTTCAAGATGGTGGACTGCAGCAGAAGGCAGGGACTTTAAATATGTATGTAAAGAGATGGAAGCCAGGTGAAAAGGCATATTAAACAACCTGTTAGCCAACAAAGTTGAAAGAACATTTAAACCATGTACTCTGAAGAAAAGAGCTCCCCTCTGCTCCCACCAATAAGTCATCCAACCAAGACATAGGCCTTAAGGAGACACAGAAGCAAAGCCAGACCAATGCACTGCTAATTTTCTGTGAAGTTTTTACCTGTTTGATCCAACTGTTTTCATTATTTCCAGTGGTCATTGTTCCTGGTTCTCATTAGTTGAAATTTTTTTTCATTATTCTGTGAGTATGTTTTTTTTCCAGAACACAAGGATTTGAGGTTCACATACTTTCATCTTTTCTTTATGATTGGTTAATTAACCAGCACTGAGTGGGGAGTAAGGAATAGAGGAAACTTTTAAAAATCCCTTTTCATGTAAATGTATAGGGCACTTAACAAGGAACTTGGAGGTCCTTGGTAATATTTGTACTTGATGGTGTTTTACTTGGAAAATATTGTTAACCCAGCTCTGATCTTAAGTTTTAAAGCATTTCAATAAAATAAAAAGAGAACACATTATATTTCATAATACAAATTAGCTTCATCTTGCATGTGCCAGGCATGGAAAAGAACAACCCTGAAGCGATCAAAATTTCCCCATTAGTACTGACCATCTAACTTTTATAGCAGACCATCACTTCTCCAAACAATGTTGTATGTTTGTTTTTAAACCACCGGGAAATAAATGATTTATAAACTCAATAAGAGAAGAAAACGAATGTATAAAAAATACATATCCCGGAAAGAATTTCTAGTGCCGAGTGTAAATTGGCACTTCATGTCTATTCATAAGATTTAAAATTAGGTGTCAATGTGGTGTTATATAATTCACTTGTGAGCTGCATGGGTGAATGGGTAATGTACATGTGTATGCCATCAGTCATGGGATAATTTCTGTGTTGTTAGAGGATCATATATCTTTTCTCTTTCTATTGCTGTCATTTGTGGCTAATGACACAACTGTCTTAGCCACAGTTAGAACTGTCTTAAAGAACTGTCTCTTTCCTCCATTGGCTTCAACAACTGGGGTGATGACTTCTAAACTTTCTCTCCAGAATCTACCTCACTCCTGAGCTCCTTACTTACATAACCAATTCAGTAGTGGACAGCTCTGTTTCCAGAGGACCTCAAATGTGCATGTGTTAAAAGTAACTGTCCATCTTCTCCCAAAACCTTTCATTCCTTCTTGTAGTATTCCTAAGAATGTAGGAATTCAAGTATTTGCTGAGGGAGATGAGGCATCATTCTTTCTTTTCCTCATTTTCATTTCCACAGAATTAATAGAACCCTTTATATACATTTATGTTTACCACATCCCACTCCCCCAAAAATCTTGAAGTAGCTATTTAAAAAATCTACAATACAATACAATGAAAACAGTCTTTAAAAGTAATGGGAATGGCAAAATTAAGTTAGAATAGTTGCATGAAGCCAGAGGAAGACTGATTCTCCCCAGGTAGAGTAGGAAGTTGGGACACAAATTAACTTGAGTTTTCCACAGGCTAAGTTGGAAACACTTATCAGGGATGTGTGATTCATAATGTCTGTCAGATTAAAAGAAATTCCAGCTGCTCAAGAGGAGCATGATTTTATTACATAACAAAAGCAGTGCCAGCAGAAGTGCGAGGTATGGACTTTCATACAAGATGACCTGGGTCAAATGAACCTCCTCGGCTGCATGCCTTGTCTATTTAACAATAAGATAGTTGACAATGGACTTAGGTAAACACCTTAATAATTTTTTTTTTTTTTTTGAGACAAGATCTCACTCTGTCATCCAGGCTGAAGTGCAGTGACATGATCTCGGCTCACTGCAACCTCTGCCTCCCAGGCTCGAGCAGTCCTCCCACCTCAGCCTCCAGAGTAGCTGAGCTGGGACTACAAGAATGTGCCACGATGCCCAGCTAATTTTTGTATTTTTTAGTAGATATGGGGTCTCACTACGTTGCCCAGGCTGATCGTGAACTCCTAAGCTCAAGTGATCCTCCCACCTTGGCCTCCCAAAGTCCAAGTATTACAGGCGTAAGCCACCATGCCAGCCCTTAGTGAATACCTTAGTTAACTTTCTCTTGAGGACTACCTGGAAAAGACAGTGGAGGTGGGCAAAGAACTACCTTACTTCCACTGTCTCTCCTACTTCTCTGAGTATGCAATTCTAGTGAGCATCCTAAAGTGAAATGTCAATCAAATATAAATCACGTTTACTGAATAAGGGTCCTCTGTGGTCTGCCTTCTGTCTCGTCTCCTGCCCCGTAACCACCACACCATCCACACTTGCTGTTCCTTTCACTGCTTATGTCTTGGCTGTTCCCCCTACAAAGCATACTCTTATACTGTTTCTCTGCCTCATATTCTTAGTCATCTTATGTAACCCAATACTCATTTCTTCTGTGAATCTTTCTCTGACTCCAGTATTGGAAGCTCTCTCCTTCAGGTTCCTACCCTCCATGTACATTTTTTTTGCCATAGCATTTGTTTATAGGGTATTAAGATTTCTTGTTTAGTGGCTGTTACCACATATAACAAGTAAATGTTTCTGTGGGTTGAGAAACTGTGAGTGTTGGTTACCTAGGTGCCACTGGCTCACGGTCTCTCATGAGGTTGCAGTCAAGGTGTGGGTTGGGGCAGTGGTGTCATCTGAAGACTCAGCTGGATGAGGATCTGCATTTGAGCTCACCACATATGGTTATTGGCAGGTCTTAGAAAACTCATTCCCCAGCTCACTCACATAAGCCTCTCCAGAGGGCTCCCTCAGGACTGGGGAGTGAACAATCCAAGCAACAGAAAGAACACTCTACGAAGAAGCCACAATTTTTATAACCTAGTCTTGAAAATGACATCCCATCACTTCTGCTGTATCCTATTCATTAGAAGCAACTCTCTAAATTGAGCCCACACTTAAGAGGAAGAGATCACACAAGAGTGAGAGTAACAGGAGGTGGGGAATCATTGGGGGTCATCTCAGAGGCTGCCTACCATGATCTCCTAAGCAATCCTGCAAATTCAGTCTCATAACTTGCATTTGCAGATAGAACACTGAGGCTTAGTGAACCAAAGCAACTTAGCAGGTGATTAGGTCTGTAGGACTCTCCAGTTTACCTTTCACTGGTCCATGATATATCTTTGTCTCAATGCCTAGCATGGTGCAAATCATGTAACAGGCATTCTAAAAATCAGAGATCATGGATAGCCCACAGATCTTTGAGAGTGGACCTTCAGAGAGTGTTAAAATTTATTTAAGTTCAAGTCCCTTTAGAAGCCATATATCCTCTCCACAGTCTCCTTCACTCCTTATTGTCTTACCCGGGCATAATTCACCCAATTACACTGACTGTCTGGCCCCTGAAGTCATTTGAGTTTGGGTTCCTGCTATAAGTAATTGGTGACAGAAGTGAGGTTTGTCATTCTTCATCCCCTATCCATTCATTCAACCAGCAAATATTTCTTGAATGCTTACTATCAGCTAGGCAGTATGTTAGCCAACTGTGGGGAGAGACTAAACTATTCAATGCAAACAGGTCCATAATTCAGGAAACTTGGTGTGTATGGATCAGCATATGGATGCTTTTTACTTTCTTGTATGTTCAAAAATTTCTATAATATAAAGGTAAAATCAAAAGTGATCCATAAAATTTCTAAGCCATGTTGTGAAAGGAAGGGGTAAATACTGGGAAAATACCTTGTTGAATCCCACAATACTTCTTGAAGGAAGTTTTAATATTTCAGTTTACAGATGAAGAAACAAGTTGATTGAGGCTAGAAGGTTCTGGAGCTGAGATTCATAGCCACATCTGTTTGGATCAAAGCCAAGCATTTTCCCCCACTGAACCACACTGCTAAACACATACAAATGTTATCTCCGCATCTCAAATCTTAAGGCTGCACTGGATTCTGGAAACCAACGAGGTTGCTTTCATGACCACCTAACAAGTGACTCTCAGTCTTCACTGTCCCTTGCTTAACATTTCGCCCAGTTACCTGTGGTGTCTCCCCTATGTTAAGCACATAATGTATGCCAGGCACTGGGCCTTGATATCAATTCACCTTCACAAGCCTCCTCATTGGTATTTTTACCTCCCTTGTCCAGAGAGGAAAAGAGGCTCAGAGAGATGAAGTCATACATCAAGTCATATAGCTAGACAGGGTGGAATTCAGATTTGAATCAAGGGCAGCTGGATCACAAAATGATTGTTCTTTCTGTTAACAGGACTGTCATTTTAGAACCTATGAATAGGGAAAAAACAGAAAATACAAAACTCTAGGCTAGCCATGTGGTAGCTGATTCCTGCTGATTACCAATTAGACCCTCCCCAGATTGTTTGCCCTCTCCAGTCACAGACTTCACATCTACAAAAGAGAGACCTGGTTTCAATATCCCTTAAGGTGGGATTTTCAAACCATAAGTCAGACCCATCAAAAAGTAATCAGATCAATGGAGTCACCACAAACATTTTTTTATGAAACAAAAGGAACAAGGCTGGGCGTGGTGGCTGACACCTGTAATCCCAGAACTTTGGGAAGCCAAGGCGGGCGGATCATCTGAGGTCAAGAGATCGAGACCATCTTGGCCAACATGGTGAAACCCTGTCTTTACTAAAAATACAAAAAATAGCTGGGTGTGGTGGCATGTGCCTGTAGTCCCAACTACTCGGTAGGCTGAGGCAGGAGAATCGCTTGAACCCAGGAGGCAGAGGTTGCAGTGAGCCGAGATCGTACCATTGCACTCCAGTCTGGTGACAGAGTGAGACTCTGTCTCAGAAAAAAAAAAAAAAAAAAAAAGGAAGAAAAGAAAAACCATCATAGTAAAAATGAGTATTGAGTTTTTTTTATGACAAGTATACATACACACACGTGTGTACCTTTGTGTATGTGTGTATGTGCATTGGGTCATGCTGTAAGATCAAGTTCTCACTGTGGATTACTGTCAAGATTTTGAAAGTTACTGCATTAAGGAGGATTCTTTCAGCCTAGGGATTTACGTCTCACAATTGCAAATGCAAACCTAACAGTTTCCTGGAAACTCTATAGACCAACAGAAAGAGGAGGAAGATAGAATCAGACAGATAGATTTTAAGGGTTTTTTTGGTCTTTTGTTTAATGTTGCCCAGGCTAGTCTCAAACTTCTGACCTCAAGCAATCCTCCTGCTTCACCTCCCAAAGTGCTGCAACTACAGGTGTGAACCACCACACCCAACCAAGACTTGGATTTGGATCTGAACTCTTCTATTTATGACTGTATGCCCTCGAGCAAGTCATTCTACCTCACTGGGCCACAATTTTATTATCTGTAAAATGCAAATAATAATGCCCATCTTACAGGGTAATAATGAGGCTTAAATGAGAAAATATAATCACTTAGCAGAATTCCAGGAACATCATAATGCTCAAAATATGTTAATTATAATAATTGTTGATTTAAACATTTTTATTATGACCATTATAATTATTATTTTCAAATTGCATTGAAATTATTTATTTACATATCTCTTCCTAGACTAGACTCATAAAGAAATCCGAGGTAGTCTTTATCATTGTATATTAAAACCATATTGTATTCAATGCAAATTGATTATGTTGACAGTATCTCCAAAGTTAGAACTAGGAGCAGAAGCCTAAAAGACTATTCCACACGCCCCTCAACAAATTTATAAAAGGACTTTCATTCAGTTAAAAGCTCTTTGAGAAGAAAATGCACTGTCTTGAAAAGTAATAACAATGACTTAGCACTGCAAGGCATTTTATTATTATGAGGTGACATCACCCACATAATTTTATTTCAATCTAACAACCACATTGAAAGGGAAATACTGTTCTCAAGCCCCATTTTACAGCATGGAAACTGAAGCTCAAAAAAGTAAAATGATGTGCCTAAGCCATAGAACCAGAACTGTTGACTTTGAGCTATATGTTCTTTCTCTTGTACTGGCGATTGATAAATTTTAGGTCATATGTAAAATTAACCAGGAAACTGGTCAAAAACAAATTGCCAGTTCCCAATCCCAGAGATTAGATTTTGACTCAGTTCTTCTATTATGAAGAACAGGAATTTGCTTTTTTTTTTTTTTTTTTTCTAAGAGGGAGTCTTGCTCTGTCACCCAGGCTGGAGTCCAGTGGCGAGATCTTGGCTCACTGCAACATCCACCTCCCGGGTTCAAGCGATTCTCCTTCCTCAGCCTCCCGAGTAGCTGGGATTACAGGCACCTGCCACCACGACCGGCTAATTTTTGTATTTTTAGTAAAGATGGGGTTTCACCACGTTGACCAGGCTGTTCTCAAACTCCTGACCTCAAGTGATCTGCCCACCTCGGCATCCCAAAGTGCTGGGATTACAGGTGTGAGCCACCGCACCTGACCCGGAATTTGCTTTTCAACAAGCATCCACAAATGATTCTGATCTAGGTGATCAGAAAATGACTATTTCCCTCATCCAGCAATCTCTTAAAAACACAGGTTGAATGCCCCAATCTGAAAATCCAAAATCTGAAATGCTCAAAAATCCAAAATTTTCTGAGCACCAACATGAGATAGTGACACTTTTGCTTTCTGGTAGTTCAGTGTACACAAACTTTGTTTCATACACAAAATCATTATAATATCGTATAAATAATCATATAAATATTATCGTATAAATATAATAATCAATATCATATAAAATTACCTTAAGGCTATTTGCAGAAGGTGTACATGAAATATAAATGAATTTTGTGTTTCGATTTGTATTCCATCCACAAGATATCTCATTACATACATGCAGATATATCAAAATCTGAAAAAACCTGAAATTCAAAACATTTCTGATCCCAAGCATTTCAGATAAGGGATACTCAACCTGTACTCACAAACAAAGGTCTTATTTCTCTAGCCTAGTGATCCCATTTGTACACTTGCCAAAGGCTGTTCTCAGTTATAATGGGCACATAAGGACCCAGGATCTGGAATTCCCAGGCTTCGCTTTGCTAACAGTTTCATTTTGCCTTCTGACCAAGCTTTAGGCCCTACTGCTGACAGTGGTAAGAAAAATGTCTTTAAATCACCTGCCTGTCTGACCAGCAGTGCATGCCCTGAGGGTGGAGCCAGCCTGTATCTACACCACATCATAATGAAGGTGTTGTAGGGGTAAGAGCTCTGAAGCGCTTTGGGAGAGCTGAGATCCATCCCATGGAAACCATCCTCAACTTCTTCAGCCAGAGTTGGCACCCCCAGGTACGGCTCCTATAATCTTTTGTGTACAGCTAACATATTGTTAGTTTACAAGCCTGCCTCCTGGAAAACAAGGTGCAGGGAAGAGAGGGCAGAGGAATCATACCTTATTCATCTTATCTCTCCACCCCTATACTCAGCTCTAGTCACTCAGCAGATGCTGAGCGTGTGAGTCAATGAATCAATCACTGAATGCAGAGCAAACAATACCACAGCAGACTTACTTTTATAACAATGTTGAATAAAAGTTTTCTAGGCCGGGCGCGGTGGCTCATGCCTGTTATCCCAGCACTTTGGGAGGCCGAGGCAGGTGGATCATGAGGTTAGGAGACCGAGACCATCCTGGCTAACACAGTGAAACCCTGTCTCTACTAAAAATACAAAAAAATTAGCCTGGCGTGGTGGAAGGCGCCTGTAGTCCCAGCTATTCGGGAGGCTGAGGCAGGAGAATGGCCTGAACCCGGGAGGTGGAGCTTGCAGTGAGCCAAGATTGCGCCACTGCACTCCAGCCTGGGCGACAGAGCGATACTCCATCTCAAAAAAAAAAAAAGTTTTCTAGCTGCCTATGTCTCATTTTATTAAATTTGACCACCTCTAGAATTCAAAGGTGGTTTGTTTCTTTTTTTAACCGTGATGGAAACATTTTTAATTTTTCTTGGAATACATTAAAAACATAAAAAAGAGCACTTTTTTGAAGCAGAAATGATGAACAATAAACTCTGTGGTTTGTGAGACATGAAACACCATAACTGTTTTGAAAAGATAATTTTCCTGGAAACAATATATTTGGAAACTAATTTGCTATTTCAATGGCCAAAACTTGGCCCGCTAATCCCCAAGAGGAATATGGAATATGAGGCTTTGTGGTACAACCAACAACCAACATTTGACAGAGTGACTTTTCCAAGACAGATTCAGTGCACACAGTGCACAGTTCAATGTTCTGATGGTGTCTTCTCATTCACCCTCTTATGGCAGGAGTATCATTCCTATTTTACAGCTGTAATAACTTAGGTTCAAAAATCACACAGCTAATAAGAGTTAGAGCTGGAATGATACAATAGCTGTCCTCCCGTGATTGCTTTATTTCACTTGGCATAATGTCCTCCAGGTTTATCCATATTGGTGCATACGAAAAGATTGCTTTCTTTTTTTAATACTGAAAAATATTCCACTGTGTGGATTTACCACATTTTCTTTATCCATTCATTCATCAATGGACATTAAGTTTGTTTCCATATATTGGCTACTGTGAATGCTATGGTTTGAATGTCCCTGCCAAAATTCATGTTGAAATTTAATTGCTATTGTAACAGTATTGAAAGTCAGGACTTTTAAGAGACGATAAAGTCATGAGGTCTCTGCCCTCAGGCATGAATTAATACTGTTATCATGGGAGTGGGTTAGTTGTCAAAGAAGTAGGGTCCTGCTTAAAAAAAAAAAAAGATGAGTTCGGTTCACTTTTCTCTCTGTCTTATACATTCACTCACCATGTGATACTTCCTACCAGGGGATAACGCTCGCCAGATGCTGGTATCATGCTCTTGGAATTCCCAGTCTCCAGAACTGTAAGAAAGAAATTTATTTCCTTTATAAAATACCCAGTCTGTGGTATTTCGTTATAGCAGCAGAAAATAAACTAAGCCAATGAATAATGCTGCAATAAACATAGGAGGGCAAATATCTCTTTGAGATCCTGATTTCAAATCTTTTGGATATATAGCCAGAAGTGAGGTTGCAGGTACTATGGTAGTTTTATTTTTTTAATTTTTTGAGGAATCTCCATATTGTTTTCCATAATGGCTGCAACATTTTACATGCAAGATGAATAAGTTCTAGAGATCTGCTGTGCAACATAGTGCCTATAGTTTACTGTATTGTAAACTTAAACATTTTGTTTAAACATAAATCTCATGTTAAGTGCTCTTATCACAAAAACAGGGTTGGAATGCTCACTTCAGCAGCACATATACTAAAATAGGAATGATACAGAAATTAGCCTGGTCCCTGCCCAGGGAAGACATGCAAATTCATGAACCATTCCATATTTTCTAAAAAAAAAAAAAAAAAAAAAAAAAAAAAAAAAAAAAAAACAGCATAGGGGACACAAGAAGACTTTTGGAGGTGATTGATATGGTTCAGCTGTGTACCCACCCAAATCTCAACTTGAATTGTATCTCTCAGAATTCCCACGTGTTGTGGGAGGGACCCAGGGAAAGATAATTGAATCATGGGGGCCAGTCTTTCTCCTGCTATTCTCGTGATAGTTAAACAGTCTCACGAGATCTGATGGGTTTATCAGGGGTTTCCGCTTTTGCTTCTTCCTCATTTTCTCTTGCTGCCCCCATCTAAGAAGTGCCTTTCACCTACCGCCATGATTCTGAGGCCTCCCCAGCCATGTGGAACTGTAAGTCCAATTAAACCTCTTTTTCTTCCCAGTCTAGGGTAGGTCTTTATCAGCAGCATGAGAACGGATTAATACAGAGATGGTTGTTTATTACTTTGACTGTGGTGATGGTTTCATGGGTGGATGCACACATCTAAACCCATCAAATCTTATACATTAAATATGTACAGTTTTTTTAATAGATCAATTATACCTCAAAAAGACTTTTTTTAAAAAAAAAAAAGCCTAGTGGATGTTTCACAAAAATGTAAATATACTTAATATTACTGAACTGTGCACATAAAAATGGTAAAATTTATATCATGTGTTTTTCACCACCAAAAAAAAAAAAAGAGAGAGACGACAAAACAAAGAGAACAAGGTAGAGCTGGATTTCTAGGTCCTTTTGGTCTCAGCCCTATA
Source organism: Homo sapiens (assembly GCF_000001405.40). Taxonomy (NCBI): domain Eukaryota; kingdom Metazoa; phylum Chordata; class Mammalia; order Primates; family Hominidae; genus Homo; species Homo sapiens. Next base: position 107,796,986 of record NC_000009.12, on the reverse strand, counting down.
GACTTCCTGTAACACTCAGGCTATTTGAAGTTCAGCAGCGTCATCATAAAGCGCTTTCAATTAACTCTACCCTAATACAGGGTGATATGGTTTGGCCGTGTCCCCATTCAAATCTCAACTTGAATTTTATCTCCCAGAATTCCAAGGGACCCAGGTGGAGGTAATTGAATCACGGAGGCTGGTCTTTCCCGTGCTATTCTCATGATAGTGAATAAGTCTCACAAGATCTGATTAGTTTATAAGGGGTTTCCGCTTTTGCTTCTTTCTCATTTTCTCTTACTGCCTCTATGTAAGAAGTGCGTTTACCTCCCGCCATGATTCTGAGGCCTCCCCCGCCATGTGGAACTGTAAGTCCAATTAAAGCTCTTTTTCTTTCCAGTCTCTGGTAGGTCTTTATCAGCGGTGTGAAAATGGACTAATATACAGGGCAATGAAAATCCAGGCAGAAAAAAAATGCCTCCTCTCTTCAGTGAACCCTCCTGACCCCTTCTCCAGTCTCCCCTGCCAGATCATTCAATCATAGTTTTGCTTTTTTGAGAAAAAATCTAAAAATGCCACATATTATAAACTGTATGAAACATGTGAAATTGACTGATGGCGATGTCTTCATTATCCTGAAGTCCTAAAGAATTATGGAGCATCAGTAAGATAAGGCTGTAACAAATAAACAAAATGTAGTTAAGAAATAAATTTTCATACAATAAAGTTTGGAATAAGTAGAAACTAAAATAAAGAATAAAGAAAAGTGCCTAATAATCTAATATGCAAAGACTGTGAAGTATTTGACTAACATTTACTTGAAGATACAGATACATATTTTACATATATAATCTATATAATATTATTTCAAATATATAAATATGAAATCAGAGTATGTAGCATGAAATAGTACATCTTTTTGTTTTCCACTAACATTTAAGCAGACACATTTTCTCATGTGTATTCTTCCATTTTCATACTGCTGTAAAAAACTGCCCAAGACTGGGTAATTTATAAAGGAAAGAGGTTTAATTGACTCACAGTTCAGCATGGCTGGGGAGACCTCAGGAAACTTACAATCATGGTGGAAGGCAAGGGAGAAACAAGGCACCTTCTTCACAAGGCAGCAAGAAGGAGAAGTGCTAAGCAAAGGGTAAAGAGGCCCTTATAAAACCATCAGATCTTGTGAGAACGCACTCACTATCACAAGAACAGCATGGGGGAAACCATGATCCAATTACCTCCACCTGATCTCTCCCTTGAAATGTGGGGATTATGGGAATTATGGGGACTATAATTCAAGATGAGATTTGGGTGGGGACACGAAACCTAACCATATCATCATGCGTTGACACAGTCTCCATGGGTTTTACTGGATGCATAATACTTTATCAAAGAAATATTTATTTAATTAATCTTTTTAAACTATATATTTAGGTTATAACTGGTTGTTCACTTCTCTCATGGCAATTCTGTCATGAGCAACTTTGAAAGTAAAGCTTTAATTAGAACATTGAGATACATCCCCAGAAATGGAGTATGAGTCTATTAGGTATGAATATCACACAAATTGCCAAATCCTTTCTGAAATGCTGCAATCGCTTCATCTGCAGTGCATTTTCCTTCACTGTCCTCAGGGCCAGCTTCATAGCAGTGCAACCTGGGCAGCCCCAGAGAACCCTCACTCAGAAGGGCCCCATGTTTGGTTTAATGCTTTGTTGGCACCATCTTGAAATTCTTAATAGTTTGAGCTTTGAATATGTGTTTTCTAAGCAAAATCTGATGGAACATGGGAACATACAGGTTACCAGAATAGATTCAGGCAATCTGTGTGCCCCCTGTTCCCTGCTGCCATATTCACATGGAGTGCCAACCACGCCTCGTGAGCACAAAATTCCAGCAGACCCACAGCATGTAGAAGTTCAGTGAGGTTCAAACAAGTATGAGGTAAGAGTGTTATTTCTAGAACTAGGTAAGCCAGGGGGTCGGGGGCTGGGGGCACTGGCCGTCCTAAGAGACCATACTTTTTATTGAAAGCAGAACTTAACTTCAAATGGCCAACAAGCCCTGTCATATGTTTTCTTGCTTGTGTTACTTTCCTGTTTCGGGCAATCATTTAGCCTGGTTTCCTTTTAGGCCATCTTTACTCATCAGTGAGCCAAAGGTAGACAGCATTGGTAGAATGTTCACATATCAAGAAGTGAATTTAAAACAATTGAGTTAGTTTTGTGCACCACTTATACTGTTCTAGTAAGAATGAAATGCATATGCATGTACAAGCTACAGAACATATAGTTCAAAGGTAATGCAAATACAAAATGTAATTTCAGTAATTCTGCACAGGAGATTGAATACTCTTTCTAAATGAATCCAATCAGTTTGAGGGAGCCAGAGCGGGATTTTACTAGCAGCAATCTTCCTTCTTCCTCTTCCATACCTCTTCTAACTGCCTTCTGGCTCAACAGCAGGCTGATAGCTTTTTTGCACAATCTAATCTGTGACAAACCACCAGGCCAGCTTCTCCAGATAGTGACAGATTAATAGCAATGTTGGTTTGAGGGCTAGTCTTTGGTAAAAGGCAACTAGGCTAACATTTCTTTATTGCTATGTGCTCTATGACTCTTAGGTTCTTTATTTACTTGCTTGCTGGTAAATTTTTACTGCCTTGTTCTGCCAAATATTGTTCGCCTTTGGATTAAGGCCTCATTTCTGAAATACAACTTTTGAACTTTGGACTGCAGTAAAATCACTATTGCTATTATGAGTTGACTCTTTATAAAATTACAAAGTTTTTCAGGATAGAAGTTTGGAGAACAGTAAAAAAAAAAAAATTACAAAGTTTTCCTTCTAAGGACATTATTATAGCAAGAGATTATCTGGTAGACAGTGTGCAAAATCTTCTTAGGCTGATAACCCACAGCCTGGAGAAGAACCAACCTAACCTCTACGGCAGAGGGTGAAAGTTAGAATCAACTGAGAAGCTTTAAAAAGCAAGAATGCCTGAGTCTAACTCTCCAACATTTTGACTTAATTGGTCCTGGGTGCATGCTGGGCACTGAGAATTTTACAAACTTTGCAGGTGTTTCTTTATGCAGCTACAGTTTTGAAGCTGCTTAGAGCCACTGCTCTAATATCTCATCTGTTTAAATTCACAGGAGAAAATACACACAACTAGGTCAGGCAGAATGTCCGCTTCTATATCATCAGGATTCAGCCAATAATTCTGGAGCCCCTACTGGCTGACTAATACTAGGCCCTTTGGGAATTGCAAAGATGAATAAGGTAACTCCTCTGTCTCAAGAAGCTTTCAAGAGATTGGGCAAGTGATGATCAGCAAGCTAGTCTGAGAGAAGAGAGAGTATCTAGAACAAGATATACCCATGAGCCAATAGGAGACTCTACCTGTGCATTGCCTTTGGAAGGGAACTTCTGGGGTCTCTTTACAGAGGAAGTGTTGGGTCAGATACTTGTGCATTAGGAAGAAGAGCAAAAAAAATGGCACTCACATCTGGAGATTTTGTCCAAATCCATCCCAAAGCTTCACCACTAATAAAGGCAAAATAAACTTCACCACTAATAAAGGCAAAACAGAAAATGTTTGACTCAACTTATTTTTTTTTTTTTGAGACGGAGTCTTTCTCTGTCACCAGGCTGGAGTGCAGTGGTGCGATCTCAGCTCACTGCAACCTCCACCTCCCAGGTTCAAGCAATTCCTCTGCCTCTGTCTCCCAAGTAGCTGGGACTACAGGCATGTGCCACCACGCCCGGCTAATTTTTTGTATTTTAGTAGAGACGGGGTTTCACCATGTTGGCCAGGATTGTCTCAATCTTCTGACCTCGTGATCCGCCTGCCTCGACCTCCAAAAGTGCTGGGATTACAGGCATGAGCCACTGCTCCCGGCAGACTCAACTTTTTAATAGTAATGTACTTTTCAACAGCTACACAATCATTGACTATCAGTGCATACTAAATAAGGAAAGAATGATGAGGGGATGAAGATTAGAAATCACTCTTTCCCCAGCAGGTTAAATGAACAACAACAAAATCTGTATCTTTGTCTAGATGTGATGGCTAATCTCATGAGTCAACTTAACTGGACCATGGGGTACTCAGATCTTTGGTTAAACATTATTCTGTGCTTATCTGTGAGGGATTTTCTAGATAAGACTAACATTTGAATTAGTAGACTAAGTAAAGCAGATTGCCCTTAGGCCTCATCCAACCTGTCAAAGCCCTGAATTGAACAGAACAAAATTTGCCTGATTGTCTTCAAGCTGGAACACAGGACTTCTGCCTTCAGACTCAGACTTGGACTGGAACTTATACCATCAGCTCTCCTCGGTCTCAGACCTCTGGACTCAGACTGCACTATACCATCAGCTCTCTCTATAGAACTCAGACTAATACACTATCACAAAAAAAGTTTCCATGCACATTCACGTTTAATTCTCATAACAATCCTCAGTCAAGGGATTGGTGATATAATATGTGTCTTAGCTGGCTCAGGGTGCCATAACAAAATGTTTTAGCCTGGGTGACTTCAACAACAGAAAGTTGTTTCTCATAGCTCTGGAGGCTGGGAAGTCCAAGATCAAGGTGCCAGCCAATTTGGTTTCAGGTGAGAGCCCTCTTCCTGGTTTGTACATGGCTTCGTTTGTCTATACCTAAGTACCTCCTAAAGGCCCTATCTCCAAATACCATCACATTGAGGGTCAGGACTTCAACATATGAATTTGGGAGGACACAAAAATTCAGTCTATAACAGTATGTTTCCCATTTTACAGATGGGAACACTAAAGCCTGAAAAAGTGAAGTAACTTGCCAAAAGCCACCAATCTTATGAATGCAAGAGCTAGAACGTGAGCCAATCTCTCTCTCACATACACCATTCTTTCTACTACAGCCATGCTTTTTATGTTAGCTATTCTAACACATAGCAAGATACTCATCTTTAGAGATAACCAGTAAAGGTCTGAAAAGCTACCAGCCTCGCTAGTTATCTGGAAAGTGCTAATTAAAATGACAGCAAAATTCTATTTTTCACTCATTAGATGGGTAAAAATTAAAAGACTAATACTATCCCAGTGTCAGGAAGGGAGAGGTGAAAGGAATGCTCCTAAATACTTCTTGTAGGATCACATATCAGCAGACTGTGTGGAGGGCAATTTGGCAGTATCTATAAAAATTTTAAATGTGTATTCTCTTTGACCAAGTAGTTTTAGTTCTTAATACCTACCCAAGGGAAATAGTTTCACATGGGTATGAAAAACATCGACTGCGTTTTCTGGTAACAGCGAAATATTAGAAGCACCATAATACCCATTCCTAGGGAATGGGTAAAAGGATCATGGTGCATCCAAACTATGGCATCCTTGAAACCTTCCAAAAGAATGTGGCTGATTTGTATATTCTGACATAGAATGTTTTACTTAGTAGAACAAAACATGTGGTATGTATAGCATAATGTTACTTAATTGATAAAAAAGCATTGTATGTCTATATGTATATAATTTTATACAAAAATTCAGGGACACATACATATCAAACTGCTAATAATTACTGGTAATCATTCTGGGATTGGAACAAAGGGAAAACAAAGAGAGCTTTTGCATTGATGGCACATTGTCTGAAATTCATAGTGAGAATGTGCTCATTATTGTTCATATCATTATAATAAATAAGTAGATACATAAACAATAAAAGCATGGAAATAAAGGTGCTTTTCTTTACACCATTTATTTTACTTCTCTCACTATAATGCTATGGGGTAGACAGATTCCACATCCTAAATGAGAAACCAGAGAGTCTGAGAGGAGAGGGGACTTGTGAGATGAGCCAGGAGGGGTTAGTGATAAAGCTGGGACCAGAACCCAGGTCTTTGTGTTCCAGTTCCTGTGCTCCATGGATGGCACCTTCCTGCGTCATTTAACTTCCACAGTCTTCATGCCATTTTGCCTCTTATGGAAGGAAGGCATCAACCCATTCTTTCAAGGGAAACTTCAACTCTTAAAGAGTTAGATTTGAAAGCTTTTCTTCTCCCTCTTCTGTTTTTTAAACCAGTCTGGATCCAGGGGCCAGCATCCTCCTAATCTCTACTTGAAACCTGCAGGTTCACTGTTGCAAAAGACTTCTCTGATGTTCCGTCCAATTTCTATCCAAATAAATCTCATTTTGCTGATGTCTATAAAGTCTGACTTTATAGCAGAGAGCTCTCCTAGAACTCTGTCTTTAATAAAAGGGGAAAGAAGTGGAACTACTAATTTAGTTTCTTTAAAAGGCATGTATTTTCATGCACATTAAGTCCATCTGTTGGTGAAATGATGCCTTTGCACAGTGTATAATTTGATAAAACCCAAAAGAACTCAGAGCTCCTAGCTTGAAGCAGAAATAGAGAAAGTGGCTGGGAACCTGACTAAAGTGGAGAAATCCACCAAACACTATTTTTAGAATTAAAAACTGATTTAAAAAATTATCCGTCATGGAGAAAGATTCACGTTCTCAGTGTAAGCACCTCTCAGCACATTCGAACCACTTCAGAAACGGAGATCAAAGGCCCTTGGTCTCTGCAGCTCATCCACTGGGGATATCTTTTTCATGGCACTATGCAATATCTGACCATCTCTCTGTCTTCACACTGTCCAGTGGGTCCCTACTGGCTACAGAGAGCTTACAAATTGGCAGCCACATGTTTGTTTGCCAGTATGAAGTATTTTTAAATGTTAAATATTGACAACATTTAAAACTTGGCAGCCCACTTAAAATTCTGATTTCTGATTTCTCAAAAAATCAGAAGATATGGCCATTCCAGGTCCAAATTCTTGCAGAGCATTAATGTGCTGATGCTGAGTAGCAGAAGTATAAAAGAGACATAACTTACTTCCTACTATGCCACAATTCCACCTCCACTGCCTGGCCCCTACAATACTTGAAGTTGCAACACCTGGTCTTAAGGATTAAACTCTAAACTTCACAAAAGGATATCCAAGGTTCTTCACTATTGGCTACTGGTCAGCTTCTACATCTTCAGCCTCTCTCACTTCCCTATTTACTTAATCAATAAACCTTCCTTGATCCCTAGCATGTACCAAGCAGTGTGCTAAATGGATATGGAGATGAATAAAATGCATGCCTCAGTTAGGGCCCCAGCAGATGGCACATACAAATTAAGACAATTTGAGCAGGGTTGGTTGAATGGTAGGAGAACCACAAACATAGTGCAGTACTTTGAGCCTAGAAATTTTGGGACTTTTGTATCTCTAGACCTGAAGAGGGACTTCTCCTACCTGGAGAGAAACTACAACCTTCTGTTGGGAATGCAGTCAACTCAAGATAACCCTGCAGACCAGGCACTTTGGGAAAGATCACCTGCTTTCACTCTCATCTCTACCTCTGGTTTTCTGAGAAGGCTTCTTCTTTGGCCAAAGTCAGAAGCAAAGGAAGGGCGTGCCTCTTGATGCAGTCCAGAGAGGTCAGCTTCATAGACAGAGAGCAGGACAGAGATAGGACAGAGTGGGTCCAAGGTACAAAGCGATGACACTGAGCCAACCCTGCTCTGCCTTTCAAGGAACTCACAGCCTAATGAGGAGACAGGTGGGTCATCAGACAAGGCCAGCATGGTGGGGGCAGTGCTGTGTTAACTAGAATCATAGCAGGCTATAGAAACTCTGGTAACTACCCAGACAGAGGCAACTAACTCAAGACAGCTGAAAGCTCCAGGAAATGGTGAACTCAAAGCTGCTCTAGAAATGACTGAAGAACAAGGAGTTAGAGGTGAGGAGGGAAAGGCGGGTCATCCCAGAAGAGAGAGCATCCCATTGCTCAGGCTTCATGGGCACCATATGCCCAACCCACTGAGTCATTCTGTTCCCCAGATGTTTCTCGCCCTTTTGAACTATATGCCTGTGCACAGACACTGCCCTCTGCTGCAATAGCTTCCCCCTACCCTTTTTGGAAAGTTAAATTCAGTTCAAATTCACCTCTCCAAGCAATTTCACTCCTGTATCTACCCAATAGAAATGTGGTCACACATGCACAAAAAGACACACATTAGAATGTTCACAACAGCATTATGCATGGTAACCAAATGCCTATCAACAGTAGAATAGATCAATGAATTCTTAGGATAGAATACTACCCAGCGGTGAGAATGTACAATCTAAAATTCCATGTAAAAATATGAATAAATACCACAAACATAATGTTGAATTCATTAGTCCATTTTCACACTGCTGATAAAGACATACCCAAGACGGGGAAGAAAAAGAAGTTTAATTGGACTTACAGTTCCACATGGCTGGGAAGGCCTCAGAATCATGGTGGGAGGTGAAAGACACTTCTTACATGGCAGCAGCAAGAGAAAATGAGGAAGATACAAAATTGGAAACCCCTGATAAATCCATCAGATCTCATGAAACTTATTCACTACCATGCGAACAGTATGGGGGAACCATCCCCATGATTCAAATGATCTCCCACTGGACCCCTCCCACAACACGTGGGAATTATGGGAGTACAATTCAAGATGAGATTTGGGTGACAACACAGCCAAACCATATCATGAGTGAAAGAAGTCAGACAGCTTTAACTGATGTACACTTCATAAGGTTTCATTTATAAAAAGGTCAAAATCAGGCAACATCAATCTATAGTGTTTGTATTAGGCTGTTCTTACATTGCTATAAAGAAATACCTGAGGCTGGATACTTTATAGAGAAAAGAGTTTTTAAGCAGCTCATGGTTCTGCAAGCTGTACAAGCATGGCACCACCATCTGCTTGGCTTCTGGTGAGAGTCTCAGGGAGCTTACAATCATGGCAGAAGTGGGAGCAGTCGGTGTCAAATGGTGCAAGTGGGAGCAACAGGTCAGGGGGAAGGTGCCACTCTCTTTTAAACTACCAGATCTCATATGAACTCAGAGTAAGAACTCCCTTATCACCAAGGAGATGGTGCTAAACCACTTATGAGGGATCTGCTCCCATGATCTGAACACCTGCCACCCGGCCCCGCCTCCAACATCGGGGATCACATTTCGACATAAGATTTGGAGGGGACAAACATCCAAACCATCTTGGTGTTAGAAGTCAGGATGGTAGTAATCCCTTAGAGGAGTGGTAGGTACTGGAAGGTAGCGCGATATGGGGGGTTCTGTGTTGCTAGTAATGTCCTATTTTAGTATCTGGGGGCTGGTTGAATGAGTTCATAAAAATTCATCAAGCTGTGCACCTATGATATAATTTTCTGTTTGTTATATTTATTTATTTATTAGTTTAAGTCACCTTCTCAGGGAAGATTTCACAGGTTGTTGAATAACAAGGGCTTCCTGTCCAAAGAGCTCAGAAAACTCTTCTGTAGAACTCATCAAGACATTTGAAAACCACTGAGAAAAGAGCAAGGTCTCAGGAGCCCCACACCTGCCTGGATTTCCCTGGCAATCCTGAACAAGTCCTGTCTACTCTCCACCTGTTCCTTTAATGATGCAGTGGAGCAGATGTACTTCCATTTCTTTTCAGTAATCAGGAGTTTTGTAGACATCAGAGATCAATGGATCATTCATCATTTTCTGAATTTCCTTGCCAACGTGGACAGTCTCTGCTCAGAAAACAACCTTGAAGGCCGGGCACAGGGGCTCACAAGGTCAGGAGACCAAGGCAGGTGGATCACAAGGTCAGGAGATTGAGACCATCCTGGATAACATGGTGAAACCCTGTCTCTACTGAAAAAACAAAAAATTAGCCGGGAGTGGTGGCTCATGCCTATAGTCTCAGCTACTCAGGAGGCTGAGGCAGGAGGATTGCTTGAACCTGGGAGGTGGAGGCTGCAGTGAGCCAAGGTCGCACCACTGTACTCCAGCCTGGGCAACAGAGCGAGACTCCATCTTACCAAAAAAAAAAAAAAAAAAAAAAAAGAAAAGGAAAAGAAAGAAAACAACCTTGAAATAAGCTGGACCCAGGGGCTTGTGCCTGTATTCCCAGCTGCTCAGGAGGCTAAGGTCGGAGGATTGCTTGAGCCCAGAGGTTTGTTGAGATTAGCCTGGGCAGCATAGTAAAACCACATCTCTATAAAATAAATGAATAAATACATATATTTTAAATAACAACCTGAAATGGCTGCAACTCTCAGCTGAGTGGCTCCCAACTTTGTCATCGTGGAGGGACCCTGCTGTGACTTCTTTCCTTTGAGCCATACACACTGCAAAAGGATGCAACCAATAACAACAACAAAGATGTTTATTGCGTAATGATCCATTTGTTTTAATTGAGACAATTATATTAATGCCAACCTAACCTTGTGACCAGCATGAGATAACCAATGTTTCTCCACTGGGTTGTGTAATTCCTGCTCAAAGCACAGTAATAAGATAGTTTAGTTCATCTGGGAATATCCATAATAGGGGTTCAATGTAAGATTGCCATCCTTAATTTTATGATACAGAAATTGACTCAGGAGACCTCATTTATATTTCTCAAACTCCTCAAGGTGGCATTCCTAGCTTAGAACCACAGTAACAGCTACTCATCCCACATACCAAAGAGACTTTGGATTTTGTCTTCAGATATTTCATGGTACTACTTTCCTGACTTCTTTTCAATGATGATCTCAGAGTGATAAGGCCTTTGTGATGCTACGTAAGCCAAGTGAAATGAAATATGATTACTTTAATCATACCAATTGTCTTACTCTGTTTGGGCTGCTAACAAAAATCCCATAGATGGGGTTATCAACAACAGAAATTTATTTCTCATAGTTCTGGAAGATGGGAAGTCCAAGATCCGTGTCTGGTGAGGGCCTGCTTCCTGGTTCATAGATAGAGCCTAGCTCTCTGCGACTTCTTTTTTATGGGGACAAATACTGTTCATGGGGGCTCCGTCCTATGACCTAATCACTTCCTAAAGGTCTTATTTCCTAATGCCATCCCTTTGGGGGTAGAATTTTAACATATACATTTGGGGGGCAAGGGAGGACGCAAACATTCAGATCATAGCACCAATATTGGCTTGCATGTGCTGTTGTTGTCCTAGGCAATTTACATGGGTTAATGCAGGCTGTGGAGTCAGATGGTGTGGGTTCAAATCCCACCTCTGATTCTTACTGTAGCATGAGACTTAACAGTTATTGAGTTCTTTGGATGATCCAATGTATATAATCCATGAAAGAATATGACATATGGTTTGGCACATAGATATATTTAAAATAGTCAGCTTCTAATAGTAATTCTACTTTCTTTTTCTTTTCTTTTCTTTTCTTTTCTTTTTTTTTTTTTTTTTTTTGTGGCAGGGTCTCATTCTGTCGCCCAGGCTGAATTGCAGTGTTGCAATCTTGGCTTACTGCAACCTCCACCTCCCAGGTTCAACAGATTCTTCTCCCTCTGCCTCCCCAGGGGCTGAGACTACATGTGTGCACCACCATGCCTGGCTAATTTTTTATATTTTTGGTAGAGACAGGGTTTCACCATGTTGGCCAGGCTGGCTGGTCTCAAACTCCTGACCTCAAGTGATCCACCCACTCAGCCTCCCAAAGTGCTGGGATTACAGGAGTGAACCACTGTGGCCAGCCATAATTCCACTTTCTTCACAACATTCCTTTTAAGAAAGTATCATGATCCCCATTTTATAAAGGAGAAACTGAGGCTCAGAGACTTGCCCAAGATCACACAACAATTGAATGGCAGATCCAGAACTTTTAACCCTAGTTCTTGTTGATGCCAAAGCCTGACCTATTTCCATGAGTCAGTCCTTCAACCTGGCAGATGTGGGGGCTGAATACCCTCAATAAGTGCTTCAATTCTCTTATAAATATTATTTTTGAGAAAAAATAACATTTTAATTATTTTAAAGAATAAAAAATAAATTCTTAGATAGGCCTTTTGCCCTTGTCATCATTTTTTTCCAAGCTCATTTTTTTATGGACCCATTCAACGTTGTCAGTCCTAATTTTGTGACTGTTGCCAATCTTATATCGGGCTTTCATTAGCCAAAGAGAGCCCTGGCCAAGCTGTGTGACTGTGGGCACCTCCTTCCCTCTCAAAGAGACCTCAGTTTCTTCTTCTGCAGAACGGGGGAATGGATGGAGGCTCTCCCAGCTCCTGCAGCCTGACCTGGAAGCTTTTCTCCTGACATCACTCCAGGGCCTTTACCCTTGTGAGCAGCTCAAACGTTTGACTCCTGCCCTGGCTTCCTGAACTATGTCAGAGGGGAAAGGAAAAAAAGACAGAGAGAATCGAACATCTGTTTTCACACCAGGGCTAGGAACTCATTCCTAAAACATTTCTCATACTTGACCAGAAGGGCATTTCGTCACGAGGAACAGGATTCGTCCCTCACTCTCTGGCTGCCTCTGCACTCTGCTGATAAGACAGTAACAAATGTGCTGATGTGCATTTCCAGGAATCGAAGCTTCTCCCTGACCAGGGCCAGCCCTGCTGTGTTCAGAAGCAGGTGCGAGCACCCAGTGCCCAAAAGCCCTTCCCTTCCCAGGCGAGCTGGCCAAGACCCTGTCCTTGGGGCTCTCTTCCTCCTGCTCAGCACCTCTTTCAGGCCCTGTAGACAGGGATTGGTTGGTTGTGCAGTCACCAATCGCACCTCCTTCTTCCTGACTTCCTGGTTCAGATGTGGGAGAAAGCCCGCCCCCCACCCCACTGCCTGGTTCAGCCATGGGAGGAGCTAAACAAACCCTCAGTCCTACCAATCAACGGCTCAGGGCTTTGCCACCCACTCCAGTAGGACCTTGAACAGGTCTCAATGTCTCTGGGCCTCCATGCTAGCTAATCTTCAAAGAACACTGTTTACCAGGCAGTATTCTAGTTACTTTTGATAGGAATCAATTCCTATTTAATCCTCTCAACAACCTTACATCCCATGTGATTAGTTTTTGGGGTTTGTTTGTTTGTTTGTTTTGTTTTTTTGAGACTGTGGAATCTCACTCTGTCACCAGGCTGGAGTGCAGTGGCGCAATCTCGGCTCACTGCAACCTCCGCCTCCCAGGTTCAAGAGACTCTCCCACCTCAACCACCCGAGCACCTGGGATTACAGGCACCTGCCACCACTCCTGGCTAATTTTTTTATATTTTTAGTAGGGATGGGGTTTCACCATGTTGTCCAGGCTGGTCTCGAACTCCTGACCTCAGGTGATCCGCCCACTTCGGCTTCCTAAAGTGCTGGTGAAATTACAGGCATGAGCCACCGTGCCCAGACCCCCACATGATTAGTTTTATTGTTACCCTGTTTTGCAGATGAGGACATAAGCCACAAAGAGCTTATGTAGTTCACCTAAGAACACACACATCCCAGATTTGAACCCGGGCCTTTGGACACTAGGCGTGCTCACGCGCTGTCAGCAGTCCTTGAACATTTGGGTCTTAGGATCCCTTCACAGTCTTTAAAAGTATTGAGGATCCCAAAGAACTTTTGTTTCTGTGGGTTATATCAATCACCATATTAGAAATTAAAACTGTGAAATTTTTAAAGCTCAAGAATACACAAGCACACGTTCCATTTGTTGTCCGAGTACAACATCATCTCACATCAAACAGCCTCCAGAAAATGCCACTCCAAGCTCATGAGAGAATGGGAGTGAAAAAAGCAAATGACATCTTAGTATTGTCACAAAAATAGCTTTGACCTCAAGGACCCCCTGAAAGATTGTTGGGGACTCCTGGGGTCCCCAGACCACACTTTGAAACGTATGCACTACACAACCTCCATGACCTTGCTATGGCGTGTGCCTTGGAGTAACTCCTCTACCTTTCTCACAAGGTATTAATTCAGTCAGTAAATACTAATTGACCACCGACTACATCTCAGGCACAATGCTAGGCACTAGGATGCAGCGGCAATCAACAAATACGTCCCGGCTGCTGTGACACTTCCAGGAAAGTGGAGGAGTCAGATATTAAGCCAAAATAATCACTCCAATTAGTAATTTAAATCTATTAAGATTATTAGAAAAGAGCAGGACACTAGGGGACCATAACTTAAAGACATGACTCTGTTTGAGCAATCAGGAAAAACTTTCTTGAGGAAGTGGCTTATCTCACTGAGGTTTTGCAAACCATAATTGCGCTTTGCAAGAAGAAACTGCTGATGGTCTCCTTCTAATGAGGGTCTGAGATCTGTCATAACCTCCTTTCTTACAGCATTTTCTGTTCTTAAAACTACCCCAGGTAAATCCTTTCAGTCCAAAGACTCTCAACTGGGGACCCTTAGTTATTTTCAACTCATGATCCTTTCCCTCCCATCATTCAGTCCCAACACAGCTGCTCCCAGTGCATATATACAGTGGTAGAAATCGGTGGAAAGGAAGGGAAGAGGCAACGTGGGGGAATGAAAAGACTCTGGCTTTGGCTTGAGTCCTGGTCTCCATCCCTCTCCTTCCTATTCATGGGACCCTGGCCAAGCTGCTGTTCTAGATTCTCAGCATCCTCAGCTGGACTCATGAAGAGCATAGCATCTTCCTCATGTGGTTAGGATGACTAGTAAGTGGGTTGGCATGTATGAAAACACCCTGCAAATGTAAGATACATAAGGAAATGCACAAATATAAAGTGCAGTGCCAGTACAGCAATAATGACAATATTGAATTAGAATCGGACAGTGAGACATACTGGATGAAACAGCTTTATCTGTGTTGTTCTCAGTTACATGTTGAAATCCATGCTTAAAAATAGGTCATGTCAAAGAACAGCTATAATTGAAAATACATGTTCTTTGAAGGAGGCATGGGTTTTTGTTTTTGTTTTTGTTTTTTGTTTTTTGTATTTTTTTTTTGGTCTGTTTTCTGAATGCAGAACCAGAAACGCAAAAAAACAGCTATAATTTTTCCAAGACAAAAGACTTAGTAATTCAGAGCTTTGCTTTATTCATGTTGTTTATCATTCAAAACCAAACCTTCTTGCAAGATCCACTGGGGTGTTTGGTAAAAGGCACATGGAGCTGGGAGTCAGAAGCGCCGGATTCTCATCCCAGCCCAGCCACTGATTCACTCATTGCTTTTGAACAAGTTTCCTCTCTTGTGTGGGCCCCAGTTTTCACATCTATAAGATGGGCAGGGAGGTGGTGGAAGGTTTTAACTATGTTATTATTTCTCAAAGAATGGGCACAAAGCAGTTGCAGAACCCCTATGAGAGAAGACTTTAGGAATCACAGGCTTAAAAGAAAATCACTAGTAAAAAGGGTAACATGTTTTAACTCTCTTTTTATCCTTCGAATTATATGTCAAGGAGAAATTCTCATATCGGAGCTAGCCTGTCTTTAACAGCTTTCTAACATTTGCTTCTTTTCTCTTCAACCGAGAACACTCCTTAGGACAAAGCTTCAGAAGGCAAGAATGTTTAGCTAGAATTTAATATCATTATTTTGCTATCATCGTGCATGCGTTTTGATTGACTTCTGTTTTAGCAAATGACTCTATTTTTTTTATTAGAGTGATATAAAAGCTTCCTTTGTAAATAAATTGTTTAGTTTTAAAAAGTGATTTGTTGTTTTAAATGTAGCAGGTATTACAAGAAACACATAGCTATGGTGGTAATCGTGGCCATACCCCTCAAGTTTTGGAGCTGTGTGCTGATGTCTGAGGTGACTCCCCTCACTGCTGAGGGTCTAGTCTTAGCCCCTATTTAGTGGCTGTAAATGGCTTGGTCACAGGATGTTCTCACTGTTGTCTGTTTTCCAGGCTCCCTGGGTGCCAAAGTTGCGTTAGACTCTGGGTGAGGGGTACAGAGGTCCAGGTTGCTCAGGAATTTCGTTCTGCCACAGACCTAAGAGCAGCAGGTGCACTCTCTGAGAATAATCCTACTTATAGCAAGGGGAGGGCTCTAGCTGTCATTTCAACTGTATTCAGAAGAAATTACCATAATCATGAGTTCTGGGTGATGTAAGAGTTTATGAGGTCCTTTCTTACATATGAGCTCAGGAATCCTCACCACACACCTCCAACTTTGGTATTATTTCTGACTTCATTTTATCGTTGAGGAAACAAAGGCTCAGAGAGCTGAAATGTTATGAAGCCACACCCCTAGAAAGGGGTAGAAGGAGGACTTTCAATCTGCATCTTCTGCCACCAGAGCTCATTGCTCTTTCCAATGCAAATGATGCTAAAGAAAGTTTGGAAATAAATCTGAAAGACGAAGTGTTACAGCTCACTAAAAAACCCCCAGATAAAATAAGAATAAAAAACGAAATATGAACCCAGATTTTTTTTACAGTGACAAGTATCCCATTTTATGAATATGCTATGTAAATAGTCTCATGATTTATAACACATATCTTGTATCCAAAAAATGAACAACCTGTGGCTAATTGTGTGCATCTATAATATGCTTACAAGATAAATTTCTAAAATTCTAGCTGCTGTGTCAAAAACTGAGTGTACATTTTTAAGCTTCTTGACACTTATTGACATGTATTGCCAAAATGCCCTTTAGAAAGATTGCACCAATCAATTCGTGTCGTCCCTGAGAGAATGAGATGGCCCAAGTCTCTCATACTTCCTCTACTTCTGAGCATTAGCATTACATTTGTAAAAATAGGAAAGAAATGGTACACCAGTTTTTTATTAGCATTTCTTTGATTATTAGTGAAGCTAAATATTTTCCTATGTGTTCATTTACCATTTGGATTTGTATATTTAGGACCTTTATGTTCAAATCAATTACTTACTTTTTCAAAATTTTATACATTCAGGATTCAAAATAAGGGGAGAAAATTCCCAGAAACTCTCTGGGCCTCACTTTTGCTAATTATGAAACGAGTTTTGGAGAAAGTGCTCTCAAGATGCCGTTGGCTCTAATTTTAACCGGGACAGAAGCAACAGCAATGTTGCTACCGTCTGGACATGCTCCCTAGACCAGAGTCTCGGCCCCACCAGCCCCTTCCTGCTTGAGCCAGTAAAGACAGTCCAGGGTGCCAGATGTGCTGGACCACCCCTACTAGAATCAGCACCATAATCTGGCTTCCCCACAGGGACACCCCACCCGTGATCATTTATTGAGACAGTGCCTATCTATTTCATTCATGTTAAATAAAATTGTGAAATCTCTCCTTAGAATTTAAGAAGTAATTTTGCTCATGCTTGTTACTTTCATCACTTTTAATTACTCCTTCCTCTTCTTACATCCCTACCAACACCACCAGCCATCCTGTCCTTAGGAAAGCAGGCATGCCTACGGGGCACTTGCCACGGTGCCATAACCATCTCCATGACAACCAGTGGTGATGGCCTTGACATGACTATAAAAGAATATATCCTCAGCTTATAAGAAAAGAACTGCAAAGCCTTAAGAAAAATCCCATGTCTGCCTTTACAAAAAAGGTAACTGGGAGATTAATTTCTAATTATAGATCTTCTTTAATGATGATGATGAAGTTAGAAAATATTTTCATTTTCTTTTTTTCTTTCTTTTTGTTTTAATATAGACAGGGTCTCACTAGCTAGTCTCGAACTCCTGGGCTCAAGCAATCTTCCCATCTCAGTCTCCCAAAGTGCTAAGATTACAGGTGTGAGCTGCCGCACTTGGCCTTTTTTTTTTTTTTGAGACAGAGTTTCACTCTGTCACCCAACCTGGAGTGCAGTGGTACGATCATGGCTTACTGTAGCCTCAATTGCCTGTGCTCAAGTGATCCTCCCATCTCAGCCTCCCAAGTAGCTGGGACCACAGGCATGTACCACCATGCCCAGCTAATTTTTTTTATTATTTTTTGAAGTGAGTTCTCACTATGTAGCCCAGGCTGATCTTGAACTCCTGAGTTCAAAGGATCCTCCCACCTCAGTCTCCCAAAGTGCTGGAATTACAAGCATGAGCCACTACGCCCAGCCCGTAATTTCATTTTCATCTTGTGTGGATATCTGTTTAAGATGAATTACATTTAGCTGAAAATTTGGTTTTCATTGATCAAATGAAACTGATCATTGCTTGAAAGTGAATATGTAAGCATAGAATGGTAATGAGGAAAGTATTGGAAGTACATACATATCTTAATGTCCTAGAGAGGCGGGTATAATATGTTTTATTTCACAGAGATCTTCCTGAGAAGGAAGACATTGTATGTTTTAACCCATGGCCTCTCTTTATGTCCCATGTCCTATCCTTTCAGCTGGACTGACTCATCCACATATGGCACTCATGGTGGTTACTGAAAGTCAGCTGCAAACAGAGCTGGTCTTAGAGTGCATGGAGTAGCTCCATTCTCTATGTCATCTCCACCTGCTCTCCCTCTTCAACTCTTGATCCTATTCACTGCTCTCCTCTGCTGACTTTCAAAGTTGTGGTGCTCTTCTTGACTGCCTATTGTAGGGTTTCTAGCTTTGCCAGTCCTTGTGTTCTGAAAGCTCTTGATGTCCCAGTCTTCCTAATCCCACCCCACTCCTTGCTCCTCAACTCTCAGTAGGATGAGGAAGGGTAGAGGCCAACGTATTCCTGGTTCCATCTTTGGAGAAGGGGCCATCTGGCATAGCCAAAGTTGAGTCCTCTGCTAAATCACTGCATATAAGCATTTGAACCAAACTGTGGGTTTGCCTAGTGTCTTTTCGAGCCTCTTCAGTATATTTCTGATTATAGATAATTAAATGAGGCCAGGCACAGTGGCTCCCGCCTGTAATCCCAACATTTTGGGAGGGCCAGTTAGGTGGATTATTGACCTCAAGAATTTGAGATCAGCCTGGGCATCATGGCGAAATCCCCCTTTTTACAAAATATTTTTATTTTTTATTTATTTATTTTTTTTTTTAATTTATTTTTTTATTGATAATTCTTGGGTGTTTCTCACAGAGGGGGATTTGGCAGGGTCATGGGACAATAGTGGAGGGAAGGTCAGCAGATAAACAAGTGAACAAAGGTCTCTGGTTTTCCTAGGCAGAGGACCCTGCGGCCTTCCGCCGTGTTTGTGTCCCTGATTACTTGAGATTAGGGATTGGTGATGACTCTTAACGAGCATGCTGCCTTCAAGCATCTGTTTAACAAAGCACATCTTGCACCGCCCTTAATCCATTTAACCCTGAGTGGACACAGCACATGTTTCAGAGAGCACAGGGTTGGGGGTAAGGTCACAGATCAACAGGATCCCAAGGCAGAGGAATTTTTCTTAGTGCAGAACAAAATGAAAAGTCTCCCATGTCTACTTCTTTCTACACAGACACGGCAACCATCCGATTTCTCAATCTTTTCCCCACCTTTCCCGCCCGTCTATTCCACAAAGCCGCCATTGTCATCCTGGCCCGTTCTCAATGAGCTGTTGGGCACACCTCCCAGACGGGGTGGTGGCCGGGCAGAGGGGCTCCTCACTTCCCAGTAGGGGCGGCCGGGCAGAGGCGCCCCTCACCTCCTGGGCGGGGCGGCTGGCCGGGCGGGGGGCTGACCCCCCCACCTCCCTCCCGGACGGGGCGGCTGGCCGGTCGGGGGGCTGACCCCCCACCTCCCTCCCGGACGGGGCGGCTGGCCAGGCAGAGGGGCTCCTCACTTCCCAGCAGGGGCGGCCGGGCAGAGGCGCCCCTCACCTCCCGGACGGGGCGGCCGGCCGGGCAGGGGGGCTGACCCCCCCCACCTCCCTCCCGGACGGGGCGGCCGGCCGGTCGGGGGGCTGACCCCCCACCTCCCTCCCGGACGGGGCGGCTGGCCAGGCAGAGGGGCTCCTCACTTCCCAGTAGGGGCGGCCGGGCAGAGGCTCCCCTCACCTCCCGGACGGGGCGGCTGGCCGGGCAGGGGGGCTGACCCCCCCCACCTCCCTCCCGGACGGGGCGGCTGGCCGGGCGGGGGGCTGACCCCCCCACCTCCCTCGCGGACGGGGCGGCTGGCCGGGCAGAGGGGCTCCTCACTTCCCAGTAGGGGCGGCCGGGCAGAGGCGCCCCTCACCTCCCGGACGGGGCGGCTGGCCGGGCAGGGGGGCTGACCCCCCCCACCTCCCTCCCGGACGGGGCAGCTGGCCGGGCGGGGGGCTGACCCCCCCACCTCCCTCGCGGACGGGGCAGCTGGCCGGGCAGAGGGGCTCCTCACTTCCCAGTAGGGGCGGCCGGGCAGAGGCGCCCCTCACCTCCCGGACGGGGCGGCTGGCCGGGCAGGGGGGCTGACCCCCCCCACCTCCCTCCCGGACGGGGCGGCTGGCCGGGCAGGGGGGCTGACCCCCCCCACCTCCCTCCCGGACGGGGCGGCTGGCCGGGCGGGGGGCTGACCCCCCCACCTCCCTCGCGGACGGGGCGGCTGGCCGGGCAGAGGGGCTCCTCACTTCCCAGTAGGGGTGGCCGGGCAGAGGCGCCCCTCACCTCCCGGACGGGGCGGCTGGCCGGGCAGGGGGGCTGACCCCCCCCACCTCCCTCCCGGACGGGGCGGCTGGCCGGGCGGGGGGCCGACACCCCCACCTCCCTCCCGGACGGGGCGGCTGGCCGGGCGGGGGGCCGACCCCCCCACCTCCCTCCCGGACGGGGCGGCTGGCCGGGCAGAGGGGCTCCTCACTTCCCAGTAGGGGCGGCCGGGCAGAGGCGCCCCTCACCTCCCAGACGGGGCGGCTGGCCGGGCGGAGGGCTGACCCCCCCACCTCCCTCCCGGACGGGGCGGCTGGCCGGGCAGAGGGGCTCCTCACTTCCCAGTAGGGGCGGCCGGGCAGAGGCGCCCCTCACCTCCCGGACCGGGCGGCTGGCCGGGCGGGGGGCTGACCCCCCCACCTCCCTCCCGGATGGCACGGCTGGCCGGGCGGGGGGCTGACCCCCCACCTCCCTCCCGGATGGGGCGGCTGGCCGGGCGGGGGGCTGACCCCCCCTCACCTCCCTCCCGGACGGGGTGGCTGCCGGGCGGAGATGCTCCTCACTTCCCAGATGGGGTGGCTGCTGGGCAGAGAGGCTCCTCACTTCTCAGATGGGGCAGCTGCCGGGCGGAGGGGCTCCTCACTTCTCAGACGGGGTGGTTGCCAGGCAGAGGGTCTCCTCACTTCTCAGACGGGGCGGCCGGGCAGAGACGCTCCTCACCTCCCAGACGGGGTCTCGGCCGGGCAGAGGCGCTCCTCACATCCCAGATGGGGCGGTGGGGCAGAGGCGCTCCCCACATCTCAGACGATGGGCGGCCGGGCAGAGACGCTCCTCACTTCCTAGATGTGATGGCGGCTGGGAAGAGGCGCTCCTCACTTCCTAGATGGGATGGCGGCCGGGCGGAGACGCTCCTCACTTCCCAGACTGGGCGGCCGGGCAGAGGGGCTCCTCACATCCCAGACGATGGGCGGCCAGGCAGAGACACTCCTCACTTCCCAGACGGGGTGGCGGCTGGGCAGAGGCTGCAATCTCGGCACTTTGGGAGGCCAAGGCAGGCGGCTGGGAGGTGGAGGTTGTAGTGAGCCGAGATCACGCCACTGCACTCCAGCCTGGGCACCATTGAGCACTGAGTGAACGAGACTCCGTCTGCAATCCCGGCACCTCGGGAGGCCGAGGTTGGCGGATCACTCGCGGTTAGGGGCTGGAGACCGGCCCGGCCAACACAGCGAAACCCCGTCTCCACCAAAACCAGTCAGGCGTGGCGGCGCGTGCCTGCAATCGCAGGCACTCGGCAGGCTGAGGCAGGAGAATCAGGCAGGGAGGTTGCAGTGAGCCGAGATGGCAGCAGTACAGTCCAGCTTCGGCTCCGCATGAGAGGGAGACCGTGGGGAGAGGGAGACGGAGACGGAGACGGAGACGGAGGGGGAGGGGGAGGGGGAGGGGGAGAGGGAGAGGGAGAGGGAGAGGGAGAGGGAGAGGGAGAGGGAGAGCCGCCTCTTTCTTTTCAATTACTGTGTCTCTTGTCTCTACAAAATATTTTTAAAAATTAGCTGGGTGTGGTGGTTTGCACCTGTAGTCCCAGCTACTTGGGAGGCTGAGGTGGGAGAATCACCTGAGCCCAGGAGGCTGAGACTGCAGTGAGCCATGATTGTACTACTGCACTCCAACCTGAGCAATGGAGTGAGACCATGTCTCAAAAAACTAATAATAATTAAATGCTAAAAACTATATTTCAAAATTATCTTTTAATCTAGAGCTCATTTTCTAGAACTTCCAACGATTTTGTACACATCATTTTCCTTACATTAAATTGTTTTTCTGCCTAAACTAGCTAGGATACTTTCCATTGCCTGTCCAATACACTTCTTCTCCAATAACATACTTTAACATAAATTTTATTTTTATAAAATACACTTCTTCTCCAATAACATACTTTAACATACATTTTACTTTTATAAAATACTGTCTTAGAATTATTCTCTTTTCTTTCATGGAAGCCTCATAAGACCCCAAGAAAAGATATGCATGTCACTAGGCCCATTTTTTCATAAGATTAAGCTTAGGTTCTAGGTAGTAAGCACCTTATGGCTAGAAGGCAATAGGACAATGCAAACCATTTCAAATCCTAAGCTCTTTCCTCCATATCACATAATCTTAAAGCCCAGGCTTTTCAGACAGGGCATCTGGGTAAAGGTTCTACTTCAGGTGGAATTATAGACTCAGTGAAAACATAATAGAGCTAGTTGATTAGCCTTGCTGGCACAGGGACTGGATCCTGATATGGTTTGGCTCTGTGTCCTGGCTCAAATCTCATGTTGAATTGTAATCCCCAGTGTTGGGGGAGGGACCTGGTGGGAGGTGATTGGATCATGGGGGTGAATTTCCCCCTTGCTGTTCTCATGATAGTGCATGAGTTTTCATGAGAGCTGGTTATTTAAAAGTGTGTAGCACTTCCCCCTTCGCCCACTCTCTCCTGTTGCCATGTGAAGGCATGCTTACTTCCCCTTCCCTCCTGCCATGATCATAAGTTGCCTGAGGCCTCCCTAGCCGTGCCTCCTGTACAGCTTGTGGAAATGTGAGTCAATTTAACCTCTTTCCTTTATAAGTTACCTGGTCTCAGGTAGTTCTTTATAGCAGTGTGAGAAGGGACTAATACAGAAAATTGGTACCAGGAGCAGGCTATTGCTCTAAACATACCTGAAAATGTGGAAATGACCTCGGAACTGGGTAATGGGCAGAGTTTGGAACTGTTTGGAAGGCTCAGAAGAAGATAAGGTGATGAGGGAAAGTTTAGAACTTCCTAGAGACTTGTTAAATGGTTGGGATCAAAATGCTGACAGTTATATGGGCAATGAAGTCCAGGCTGAGGTGGTCTCAAATGGAGATGAGGAATTTACTGGGAACTGGAGTGAAGGTCACTCTTGCTATGCTTTAGCAAAGAGACTGGAGGCATTGTGCCCCTGCTCTAGGGATCTGTGGAACTTTGAACTTGAGAGAGATGATTTAAGATATCTGTCAGAAGAAATTTCTAATCAGCAAAGCATACAAGATGTGGCCTGGGTGCTTCTAAAAGCCTACGCTCACTTCCACAAGTAAAGAGATCTTATATTTAAAAGCGAAGCAGAACATAACAGTTTGGAAAGTTTGCAGCCTGATTTTGTGGTAGGAAAGAAAAAACCATTTTCCGGGGAGAAATTCAAGATGGCTGCAGAAATTTGCATAAGATGAGCCAAATGTTAATAGCCAAAACAGTGGGGAAAATGCCTCCAAGGCATTTCAGAGACCTTCATAGCAGCCCCTGCCATCACAGGCCCAGAGGTCTAGGAGGGAAAAAATGGTTTCATGGACCAGGTCCAGGGCCCTGCTGCTCCGTACAGCCTCAGAACATAGTGCCCTGTATCCCAGCCACTCCAGTTGCTGCTATGGCTAAAAGGGGCCAATATACAGGTCAGGCCATTGCTTTAGAGGGTGCAAGCCCCAAGCCTTTGTGGCTTCCACTTGGTGTTGAGCCTGCAGGTGTGCAGACTGCAAGAGTTGAGGTTTGGGATCCTCTGCCTAGATTTCACAGGATGTATGGAAATGCCTGGATATCCAGGCAGAAGTCTGCAGCAGAGGTAGAGCCCTTATGGAGAACCTCTACTAGGACAGTGTGAAGGGGAAATGTGGGGTTGGAGCCCCCACACAGAGTCTCCACGGGGCCACTATCTAGTGGAGCTGTGAGAAGAGGTCCACAATCCTCCAGACCGCGGAATGGTAGATCCACCAACAGCTTGCACCATGTGCCTGGAAAAGCTTTAGGCACTCAATGCCAGCCCATGAAAGGAGCTGAGGGGGCTGTACCCTGCTGAACCACAGATGTGAAGCTTCCCAAGGCCATGGGACCCTGCTGCTTGCATCAGCATGCCCTAGATGTGAGACATGAGTCAAAGGAGATTATTTCAGAGCTTTAAGATTTAATGACTGCCCTGCTGGGTTTCAGGCTTGCATGCAGCCTGTGGTCCCTTTGTTTTGGTCGATTTCTCTAGAAATGTCTTCTGCCAAACACACTAAAAACCCTGATTTCTCTCTGTTCCAGGTTTACCTAATGCCTGTACCCCCATTGTATCTTGAAAGTAACTAATTTGTTTTTTATTTTATAGGCTCAGAGGTGGAAGGAACTTGCCTTGTCTCAGATGACACTTTGGACTTGGATTTTTGAGTTAATGCTGGAATGAGTTAAGACTTTGGGGGACTGTTGGGAAGGCATGACTGGTTTTGAAATGTGAGAAGGACGTGAGATTTGGGAGGGGCCAGGGGCAGAATGATATAGTTCAGTTCTGTGTCCCACCCAAATCTCACGTTGAATTGTAATCCCAGTGTTGGGGGAGGGACCTGGTGGAAGGTAATGGGATCATGGGGGAAGATTTCCCACTTGCTGTTCTTGTGATAGAGAGTGAGTTCTCATGAGTTCTAGTTGTTTAAAAGTATGTAGCCCTTCCCCCTTTGCTCTCTCTCTCTCTCCTGCCACCATGTGAATACGTACTTGCTTCCCCTTTGCCCTTCTGCCATGATTGTAAGTTTCCTGAGCTCTCCCCAGCCATGCCCCCTGTACTGCCTGTGGAACTGGGGCAATTAAACCTCTTTTCTTTATAAATTACCCAATCTCAGGTAGTTCTTTATAGCTGTGAGAAAAGACTCATACAGACCCTGAGAGACCTGCATTTAAGCCACAGCTCAGCCATTACTCTGCACCAGCTGCGTGATTTTACTACATTTATTTAACCTTTTTTGAGTCTAATTTTTCCCATCTATAAATTGGAGATAATAGCACTTCCCTTGTAAGGCCAATGCAATAACTAAATAAGATAATTTATGTGAAGTGCCTAGCACAGTGCCTGACTCCTAATAAACATTCAATAATTCAGTTAGCTCTCAGGTTATGGGACCTTTCACTGAGGTATGCTTGGTAGGAAAGCCAGCATGAGGCAGTGAGAGAACACTGGGTGAGGATAACTGTCTATCACTGCCATGAATGCACTGCATGACCTTCACTACCCTGTGAAGCCTCCCCTGATGGACTTGGGACTCCATTACTTGCACCTTCACGGTATCTCATTTGTGTCTCCATTAAGGTATTGATCACAATGCAGTCATGGTCCATTTGCACTTCTATCTCCCCAGCAGACTTCAAGCATTGTGGGATCAGGGACTGGCCTTCTTTTCTCTCTATTTGTAGGCCTGCTACAGTGCCTAATGCAAGTGCCTGTTTATGAAATGTGGTTGAGTTAATAAATTAATGAATGAAGGTTATATAATTGTGAAACTTCAAGTCAACATCACTCTGCAGAAGCAAGTTGTCCATGGCCTTACTGGTAGCAATCCTCTCAATCTCCTATATTCAAAGTCTCTTCCAGTTCTTAACAGTTTTATAAAACTACTGGTTAAAGGGGGCAATTTTTCATCCTAATAAATGCAAAACCTTAATACTCATACTCCTGGCACAATTTATAAAGAATCATTGACACTGATTAATAGTTCTAATCAAGATTACAGAAGTTTTTAATTAAGCAGCTGCCAAACAAAACAACATAGAATACTAATTAATGAAGTAGAATCTTCTCTCCCTTTTTTCCTGAGGCATCTATCTAGTCTTTTTTTGACTCAGTCTCTACCTCAGTAAAATAAAATACATAAACAAATATTATTTATTGAGCACTTTCTATGTGTTATTCAGTACTCCAAGCATTTTACATATAATAATTTCTTAAGTCTTTATAACAACTTTATGAGGTAGATTTCATTCTTACTATCAACACATCAGGAAATTGATGCACAAAGAGATTAAATATCTTGCCTGAGGTCACTCAGCTAATAAGAGGGCCAGCAGGAATTTGAATGTATAGACATATGGCCTCCAGGGCCTCTGGTCTTAATCCCTACTCAAGATAACATATTATTTTACTCAACATTTAATAATAGCATGCATAAAATGTAAACCATGTCCAAAATTCTTTATTGTGTTCATTCTCACTGACTTCAGCTTCTAAAGGATTTCCCTTAGTATCTCTAGTGAGAGGTTTTATTTTAATTCAGGAAGGCAAAAGGTGGGCTAAGCTCATCTATGCCTCTGATCAGTTGAAGACTCTTCAGCTTTGGACTGATTGTCATTCTGGCCAGGAGCCTTTGGGCAGGGAATTAGTTCTGTCCTAAGGTGGCTGATGAAAAGTGGATTTGGACACCTTCTTTTAGCTCTTCTCACCCTAATCCTGCTCTGAAGAGGAAGAGAAGGAGGGAGAATGACATCTATTGAGCACCTGGTTTATTACCAAAATACATACTTTTGCTAAATTCCTGGCCTTAT
Source organism: Homo sapiens (assembly GCF_000001405.40). Lineage (NCBI taxonomy): Eukaryota > Metazoa > Chordata > Mammalia > Primates > Hominidae > Homo > Homo sapiens. The sequence goes on along the minus strand of NC_000009.12, from coordinate 107,770,441 downwards.
AACGTTTGCATTATTTTCTCCATTTTATAGGTGAGGGAACTGGAGTTCAGAGAGGTAGAGTGACTTACCCAAGGTCACTCAGATAAACTGTGGCACTGACCACACAACCCTGGTCTTTCTGGCTCCAAAGCCCAAGACTACCTTTCCCAGTGCCAAACGAGGCTTTCCACAGCCTCTTGTTCCAGCAGTGTCCTGAGGGAGGGAGAGATTTGGCCTGCTCATGAGGCTCCAGTCTATGTTTCCATGACAAGGCCATGTGGTCAGCACAATGCAAGTGGGAGGAAGCCTGCATCAGCCAGGGCGTGAATGAGGGCTGCAAGTCAGGAGCTCAGCACCTCCCATCCATCTGCCTTACCTCCCACAATTTAACTATTACCCTCACCGCCCACCCCCAAGATCAGGACAGGAGAGAAGATGCTGGGATTGTATGCGTGCTTCTGTGTTGGCCTTGCAGTGAGAGATGATCAAGAAATACTTAGAAACTCTATGTGCATGCAATTTGGGTACCTCCTGAGTGTGAAGAGCTCATTGATCCCATTGCAAGTATTGGTGGGCCATCAGATGAAAGCTCCAAATTCATAGTCCCCCTAAGAAAACCACCCCATTAAAACACTAATGAACACACTAGCAGGAAGGGAATGGAGGAGAGAAAAGGAAGCAGATGATATTCTTTCAAAACCAAGGATTCCTCAGTAATTCTTTTCCAGGTTTCCAATTCTAGCTCTATGAGAATCATCCACTGTTATCTTGGGGAAGTGACTTGATCTTTCTCAAGTGACTTCGTCTGTAAAAGGGTGGTAGTAATACTCATCACTGGGCATGGTGGCTTAACACAGTGCCCAGCATCCAGTAGGACTTCAATAAATGGTAGGTCCTTTCATTGTCCTTCTCTGTGGAAACAAAGGCTAACAGAACAGAAGTCCTGGAGCTTACAAGAAACTCTAAAAATGAACAAGTTGGAGCCAAAAGGAGGCTGGGAGAGTAGGAATCTTTTGAGCCCTGTAGCATGATGGGGATGAAACTGGTGGGGATGAGGAAGAGAATGAGGCTAATGAGCAGGAAGGGATGGGAATAACCAGGCAGCAGCAGCAGCAAGCACAGTACCTCTGGTTTAGAAGGCTCTGGCCTCTTCCTGCAGACGAAGGGACTGGGGCTCCTGGCAACCTTTGCTGCCTGTCGCACTGTGAGATGAAAGAGACACCGAGGGTATGGGAGGGGGATTGAGAATGAGAAAGGGGCCCCACTTTGGCCCCAGCCTCTAGCGTGACAAGTAAGAGGAGAGGCTCTGGATTCTAGTCCCCCGCTCCCCTGTTTTCTAAGTTATGACCTCCGTAACCCCAGGCAAGTCAGCTTACATCTCTGAGCCTCAGATACCTCATTTGTAAAATGGGCATAATGATAATTCATAACTCAGAATGTCGCAGAAATGGTTAATTGAGGGAAAGTTATGTAAAGCACTTAGTATAGTTTATTCATTTAGAAAACACTCAGAAGTTGTCGTTATTGCTCTTATTATTATTATTATATTTTATCTTAATGATTGTTACAGGGCCCCTGTGAAGTCGCTTTTATGCAACTCTTTTATGCTCTTTGAAAAGTCTCTGTAACAGAATCCCGCATTGTGGCTCAAAATGAGTTAATGCTGCCAAACGTCAAATGGGGTTGCATTCATTGCTATTCACTGGGCCACTCTGAACCTCAGTTTCCTCATCTGAAACCCAGGATGGTCTGGACACTGCAGGGTTATTGGGAGGACTCCACGAGGCAGGAAATGGAAAGTGGCAAGCACCAGGCTTGGCACAGAGAAAGGCTTGAGAAATGGGAGTTCCCTTTCTTTTCCTGCTGGCTTCCTGGGAAAGTGCACAAATCCAGGTTAAGGACCCCCTGGGGCTTCTCTGGTCACCTGACCGGAGAGTTAGGGTGGAGAGCAGGAAGGGGGTGGTGTGATGTGGAACAGGTCAATTTCTTTTTCCCTGTGACCCTGCAGTTTGGAAACACACTCCCTATCTGTAGTGCTATTCTCCTGCCGGTCGGTCCCACCGTGGTCATTCCCAGAACAATGGCAGGATACAGGCCTGTGCTTACGAGCAATGGCATGCAGCCGTTTGAGCCAGGTTGAGTTGGACCAGGCCAAACGGGGCTTATCCTAGGCATAGAGAGGGCCAACAGCCTCGACATCAAATGCAGCAGCCTCCTGCTGCGGCCCTGGAGTTTTCACCTACTGCAATTGTCAGGGAGATCCAAGAGTTAAGTCCAAGGAGTTAGGGAGTTCTTGGAGACCTGGCCGAGAGGTGACAGAGGGACTCAAGGCTCCCTGGAGCATTGATTTGAGGGGCTCCACACTTGCAGATTTCCCTCCCACTCCTATGGGCACCAGTTGGAGTTTGGATTCCTAGTGTACCCTAACAGATCTTTACCAGACCCTATGCTTTCCCTGATGATAATATAATAAGCTGCCAGTTTTTTACTGGCCAATTACTAAGCACAGTCAAATCATTATTTGCAGATTCCATATTTGCAAATTTGCTTACTCGCTAAATTTACTTATAACCCCAATATTAACATGTGCAGTGTTTCGGCATTTTCATGGCTGTTCACAGACAAGCACAGAACAGCAAAAAAAAATAGTTGCTTGATGCACACACACATTCCCAGCTGAGCGAGGCCATGCTGTACCTTCTTTATTTTCTTTTATTTTTTTTTTCCAAGATGGAGTCTCACTCCGTCACCCAGGCTAGAGTGTAGTGGCGTGATCTCAGCTCACTGCAACCTCCTCCTCACGGGTTCAAGAGATTCTCCTGCCTCAGCCTCCTGAGTAGCTGGGATTACAGGTGCATGCCACCATGCCCAGCTAATTGTTGTATTTTTAGTAGAGATGAGGTTTCACCATGTTGGCCAGGCTGGTCTCACACTCCTGACCTCAGGTGATCCACCCTCCTTGGCCTCCCAAATGCTGGGATTATAGGTGTGAGCCATCACTTGCGGCCCTCTACCTTTTTTTTCAGCTCTCATCCTATCAACAGGTGTCCTTTCTGCAGTCTATTTAGTGCCATAAATTTCACTTTTTTTTTTTTTTTGCTTTTATTGGAGATTTTACTGTTTGAAATGGTCTCCAGATATAGTGCTGAAGTGCTGTCTGGTGTGTTTAAGTGCAAGAGAGCAGTGATGTACCTTCAGAGAGAATATACATATTAGATACGCTTCATTCAGATATGACTTAAAGTATTCTTAGGCATGAGTTTAATATTAATGAATCAACAATGATATTAAATAAGGTACCTTTAAAAAGAAACACACATACATCATGGTTATGTATTGATCAGTTGACAAAGATGTTGTGACCAGAGATTTTTCAGGAACCTAATCCTGTATTTCCAGTAAGAGCAATGGCTCACTATTCCAGTAATTCAGTGTTTGCAGTGACTTTATAGAACATAATTGCCTCAGAAAAATGGAATGCCACTGTATTTGTTATTTTATGTAATCCTCCAAACAGCCACGGAAATAAATATTATTGTTTCCATTTTACAGAGGTGACAATTGAGGCAGAAGGAAATGGGCTTTCCTAAGGTCACCCTGCCCAAAAGTGGATTAAACTGATCTGCCTGTAGTGTTTGCATCCTTCCCCCTGCACTGGGCTGCTGTTTGAGGGACTACTTCCCAGAGGGCTGGTGTGGCTCTCACATTCATATGAGCAGGATGTGTGAGCAGGCCCAGAGCACTGAGATACAGCCTTGTTCTCACCTTATGAGGAAACTGAAGTCTGAAGAGAGCAAGTGTTAGATCCAAGAGACTCATGGCGGCTGACCAGAGACCCACTGCAACATTTGCATCCTCTGCCTTTACTAGAGAGTACTACATGAAGTAATTTTGGTTCCTAAAACCTCATTTTGTAAGATTCCCATGAGCCTTTCTTTGGGGGGAAAATACTGACTTGTTTTCTTTTTTCTTTTTTTTTTCTTTCTGAGACAGGGACTTGCTCTGAAACCCAGGCTGGAGTGCAGTAGTTTCATCACTGCTCACTGCAGTCTTGATCTCCCAGGCTGAAGTGACTCTCCCACCTCAGCTTTCCGAGTAGCTCGGACTACAGGAGCATGCCACCAAGCCTGGCTGATTTTTCTGTATTTTTTGTAGAAATAGGGTCTCACTATTCTGCCCAGGCTGGTCTCAAACTCCTAGGCTCAAGCCATCCATCTGCCTTGGCCTCCTATAGTGCTGGGATTACAGTTGTGAGCCACCATGCCTGGCCTGATTTTCTGAAAAAAAAAAAAAAAAAAAAACAAATTTATATATATCAAGCACCAGGCACTTACATCATTTATTCTCACAACAACTCTGAGAGGTACAGGGTATTACCCCTATAATTGTCCTTATAGAAGCTCTGCCCACATGCCTTCATTATTAACCTCTGCACACCAAAGGCTGCTTAACACAA